>NC_000006.12:67155836-67458867 GCF_000001405.40 Homo sapiens
AAACTATTTTTTGAGAAAGAAGCTTTCTCAAGCTTTTGTAATCCAAACTAAACCAGTCATGTTCCACAGAAAACACCTCTTTCTTCATATATAAGTAAAGCCATCTATAGAGTATAAGGATGGGAGAAATATATCAAAAGGGGAGTACTAAAGACGATGTTGCTGGCACTTTTAATATGTTGTCTTAAGTTTGGGTTCACATCTTCTCAAACGGTTGTGCCTCATTCCTTATTTTCCAAATTCATACTGATAAAACTACTGCCAAATCTCAGAAATATATATTGCAGTCCCTCTCCACTTGCCTTTTCTCAGACACTTACATAGGTATTCTTTTTTTTTTTTTTTTTTTTTTTTTTTGAGACGGAGTCTCGCTCTGTCGCCCAGGCTGGAGTGCAGTGGCACGATCTCGGCTCACTGCAAGCTCCGCCTCCCGGGTTCACGCCATTCTCCTGCCTCAGCCTCCCGAGCAGCTGGGACTACAGGCGCCCGCCACCACGCCCGGCTAATTTTTTGCATTTTTAGTAGAGACGGGGTTTCACCGTGTTAGCCAGGATGGTCTCGATCTCCTGACCTCGTGATCCGCCCGCCTCGGCCTCCCAAAGTGCTGGGATTACAGGCGCGAGCCACCGCGCCCGGCCAGGTATTCTTACTCAATGCAAATGTCTGGCAGTAAATTTGGAAGATTGCATATCTTTTTCTAGTTGTTCATCTGGATTTCTTTAGGAATACTAGCTGGGGATATGTTTACAATGAAATCTTAAGGAAGAATAATAATAATGATGAGAAAATAGCTTCTGTATGAAATTAGTTTTGTTCTACATTTATCATTCATTTATTCAACCAATAAATGTTTTCAACTAGGCCCTGGAGACGTACCTGCAAAAAAAATATTTACATTATACAAAGCAATTCTTGCCTTCATAAGGTTTACATTATAGTGGTCATGAAGACAAAAAGTAACCTAATTACTGAATTGCTTAACATATTCATCTTCCCCCAGCTGTTATTTTTATTGTCTGAGTATCTCCAAATAAGGATAGGTAATCTGACTAAATAATGGTTAATTAATAACATGCTAAAATTGGTACATTTTTGGAAAAGACTCTTAAAATACAAACCATCAAACAAAGCATAATAGTCTCATCTGGCAAGAAATAATTTCATCTCGCAAAGCAATTGACATTTTCAGAATTATTTTGGAAACTGATTTGTTAGATTTATGTTTTGGAGAATTTGTTTCCTCATAATAGTTGTAAAATAAATTCATTTTATAATTCAGAGTATGAAAGCAAGTTCAAGTTCAGAATTTTATTTGTCACCCTAAACCATTTTTCCAAACCTAAGCTTTGCTTTTTTTCTTTTGATTTGTAAAGAAAGTCAAAAATTATCTTCAAAAATGTATACAAAATAACAAGTTTCAATATTTGCCTCCAACCTAAAGAGTTGTGAGAGTAGCTAAGTTCGAGAAACTTTCATTTAAACTAATATAATATGAATATATGTTCAAAAATAATTATCAGTAAATATAATTGGCTAACATATGACAACTTTAATTTATATCCCAAAGTGTTTACTCTTCAAGAGAATGAGAAAATTAGTAAAATATGTACACATATACACATATATATGTAGATGCATATATATACACACATATGTGTATATATAAAAAGTTAATATAGCAAGTTGTAAGCTAAATAATTTGCCATATTATTCTGGGAGGTGAGGTATGGTGGATGATTATCTAGACTTGTACTTAACAAATCATTCAACCTAACCATTCTTAAAAGTAGAACAGGATAAATGCTTTTTTTAACTTCAAGAATATGAGGAAACCACTGAGACCTCTCCTTAAATTGAAAGAGATATTTTAGTGGCTTATAATTAAAAGTGAAAATGTAGATAAATTGTATTTTCTATGTCTTGATACAATAATTTTTTCCTAAAGTTTTATAATTCCCAAATCTCAAAAATCATCAGGTAGAAGTCCTATTTGTCAATGTCAACTAACTTTGCCATATTCTTATGACTTAGCAAGATGGGAAGCACTTCAGTAATCTATTGGCATTATTTTTAATATGAAAACAATGTCATACATTGTACTGCTTGAATGAAATGATATTCCAAGTTGCTATGTTTTACATGTCAATTTCTACAGCTACACCAGCGGGCAGTGCTTGTCAAAGGGTAATGTTTCATCTGTCATCTGGGGAGGGAGCCCAACAAGCGCAAGTAAAAATCCCATGGAGCTTTCCTACCATTTTAAAATGACCATTGCTTTGATTCAGTATTTACTTGAGTGCTACAAACCTTCGACTGTTTTCCAGAATTTTGACAAAGTTAGTTCTACTAGTTAATGCTCAATTTTTTTCTTTTTTTTTCTATTTTGTTTTTTTTTAATTTTTTGAGACTGAATCTTGCTCTGTCGCCCAGGCTAGAGTACAGTGGCACAGTATTGGCTCACTTCAGACTCCGCCTCCTGGGTTCAAGCTATTCTCCTGCCCCAGCCTCCTGAGTAGCTGGGACTATAGGCACGTGCCACCATGCCCAGATAATTTTTGTATTTTTAGTAGAGACAGGGTTTCACCATGTTGGCCAGGCTTGTCTTGAACTCCTGACCTCGTGATCCACCCGCCTCAGCCTACCAAAGTGCTGGGATTACAAGCGTGAGCCACAACACCAGGCCAATTTCTTTTCCTTTTTTTTATGTTTCTGTAGAAGAACAGGTAATTGGAGCAGCCTACTCCATCATTTTCACTGACATTCACAAATATATTTTAACACCATAATAAAATGACTATGATTATTTTTAGCAATTAAAATCTATGTAGATCTACAACGTTAACTAAGCGAATGTATATTTAATATAAAGCATAATATTTAATATTTTTGAGTAAATTTACATAGTAATAAAATAAATACTCTTAGCTGAAAAAACAAACCCACTCTTTGGAGGTCCCCATGAAGAGCTCCTTGATTCAATCATCTTTCAGCCTTTAAAGATGTAGGCATCTTTGATTTTAATTCCTTTAATAAGTTAATCACTTATAATTTTTTCACATATTTCTACAATCCTAAACAGCACAGCACTTAAATATTGTATCTCCCAAACTGCGTTAATATAGAAGAATCTCACAAACTCATGTTGAATCAATATATGCATCACGGAAAAATACATAGACTATTGACAACTTACCAAGGGAGTGGAGCTGCCTGTATCTTTTTCCTATCATTTTTTTACTCCATCTGTACTCTGACATTTCGAGGTTTCTCATATGCAGCATACGGTTGTCTTTCTCTTTTACATCTAGTCTTAAAATCTTTGTGTTTTGAGAGGAGGGAAGTGTAATTAATTGTCCTAGTTGTAATTACTGGTATATTCGTTAAATTTCTTGTCTCTTTATCTTCATGCTGCATTTTCTGTTTACTTTTTTCATTGTTATTGCCATTGATCGTGGGCTTTTACTCCTTTCCTTCTTTTTTTAACAAATTGGAAATTATACAAGTAGTAGTTGCCCATGAGACTTAACATTCATATATCATGAAATTCAGAGTTAAACAATATTCCTACCCTTATCTCAAAAACTATTATTATATGTTGGACTACATATCCTCCCCTTTTATTTTATTTTGGTCTAGAAATTTAGTCTTCTTAAAATGCCAAATAACAGATGTAATTGTTATTATTTCACACAATTAATAATTTATATTTAGCTATATATTTATCTATTTATTAGGTTAATGTTGCTAATTAGATTAGTATTATAAACTCCACTTTAAAAATAAAGCCTGGATACCATAGAAGTCAAGGAACATAGGAACATATCCAAGAATATTTAAATATAAGGAGTTGGAATTGTCCTACCTTCCTGATATGGTTTGGGTGTGTCCTCACCCAAACCTGATCTTGAATCATAGTTCTCAAAATCCCCATGTGTCATGGGAGGGACCTGGTGGGAGGTAATGAATCATGGGGGCAGTTACCCTCATGCTGTTCTCATAATAGTGAGTGAGTTCTCATGAGATTGGATGGTTTTATATGGGGCTCTTCCCCCTTTGTTCAGCACTTTTCTCTCCTGCTACCTTGTCAAGAAGAATGTTTTTGCTTCCCCTTCCATCAATTTTAAGTTTTCTGAGGCCTCTCCAACCATGTGAAACAGTGAGTGAATTAAACCTTTTTTCTTTATAAGTTACCCAGTCTTGGGTCTGTCTTTATTATCAGCATGAGAACAAATAATACAGTAAATTGGTACTGCACAGAGTGCATTGCTGCTGTAAAGATACCTGAAAATATAGAAGCAATTTTGGAACTGCGTAACAGGAAGTGGTTGGAATAGTTTGGAGGGCTCAGAAGAAGACAGAAAGATGTGGGAAAGTTTGGAACTTCCTAGGAACTTGTTGAATGGCTTTGACCATAATGCTGATAGTGAGGTTGTCTCAGATGGAGATGAGGAACTTGTTGGGAACTGGAATAAAGATGACTTTCTATGTTTTAGCAAAGAGACTAGGCAGCATTTTGCCCCTGCCCTAAAGATCTGTGGAACTTTGAACTTCAGACGGATGATTTAACATATTTGGCAGAATAAATTTCTTTTCCTTTTTTTTTTTTTTTTGAGAGATAGTCTCACTCTGTCACCCAGGCTGGAGTGCAGTTGGTGGAAGAAATTTCTAAGTAGCAAAGTGGTCAAGAGGAAGCAGAGCATAAAAGTTTAGAAAAATTGCAGCTTGATGATGCAATAGAAAAGAAAAACTCATTTTCTGGGGAGAAATTCAAGCCTGTGGCAGAAATTTGCATAATTAACAAAGAATGGAATGTTATTCACCAAGACAATGGGGAAAATGTCTCTATGGCATGTCAGAGACGTTCATGGCAGCTCTTCCCATCAGAGACCTGAAGGCCTAGTAGGAAAAAATGGATTTGTGGACTGGAACCAGGGCCTCCCTGCTCTGTGCAGCCTTGGAAAATGGTTCATTGCATCCCAGCTGCTTTAGCTCCAACCATGGCTAAAAGGGCACAAAATACAGCTCAGGCTGTTGCTTCAGGTGGTGTAACTCCCAAGCCTTGGCAACATCCATGCAGTGTTTGGCCTCTGGTTGCACAGAAGTCAAGAATTGAGGGTTAGGAACCTCTGCCTAGATTTTAGAGGACATATGGAAATGCCTGGATGTCCAGGTAGAAGTTTGCTACTGGGGTGCAGCCCTCATGGAGAACCTCTGGTAGGGGAGTGCAGAAGGAAAATGTGGGGTAGAAGCATCCACACAGAGCTCCCACTGGGACACTGCCTAGTGGAGCTGTGAGAAGAAGGCCATCGTCCTCCAGACCCCAGAATGGTAAATCCACCAGCAGCTTGAACCATGTGCCTGGAAAAGCTGCAGAAACTCAGTGCAAAGCCTGTGAAGACAGCCTGTAGAGGAATCGTACCCTGCAAAGCTACAGGGGCAGAGTTGACCAAGACTGTGGGAGCCAACCTCTTGCATCAGCATGACCTGGACGTAAGACATGGATTCAAAGAAGATCATTTTGGAGCTTTTAGGTTTAATGACTAACCTATTGGATTTCAGACTTTTATGGGGCCTGTAGCCCATTTGTTTTGGCCAATTTCTCCCATTCGGAATGGGTGTATTTACCCAATGCCTGTTCCCCTATTGTATCTAGGAGGTAACTAACTTGCTTTTGATTTTACAGGCTCATAGGTGTAAAGGACTTGCCTTGTCTCATATTAGACTTTGGTTTTGGACTTTTGGGTTAATGCTGGAATTTTTGGGTTAATGCTAAGGTTTGGGGAGACTGTTGGAAAGGCATTATTGTGTCTTGAAATGTGAGAATATGAGATATGGGAGGTGGCAGGGATGGATTGATTTGCTTTGATATGATGCGATTTGGTATGTCCCCACCCCAATCTCATAATCCCCAGGTGTCATGGAAGGGACCCAGTGGGAGTTCATTGAATCGTAGGGATGGTTAACCTCATGCTGTTCTCATGACAGTAAGTTCTCACAAGGCCTAATGGTTTTATAAGGGGCTTTTCCTCCCTTTGCTCAGCACTTCTCTCTCCTGCCGCCTCATCAAGAAGAATGTTTCCTTTTCCCCTTCCACCATGATTTTAAGTTTCCTGAGGCCTTCGCAGCCATGCGGAACTGTGAGTCAATTAAACCTCTTTTCTTTATAAATTATCCAGTCATGAATATTTCTTCATAGCAGTGTAAGAATAAACTAATATACTTCCCAATACCTTGCTCTATATCCAGTTTTATGTAAATGTGTAAACAGACTTTCTTTTTAATCAATGTAGTTTTGGCCATGATTGCATTAAATCTTCCCTCTTAATTTCTATAGATGGCCACCAGGTATTCAATTTATCAAGAACCAGTTATCATATTTGTTTATTTCAACTCTCACATATTTGATGAATTATATTTTCCTCCTCATCCCTACTATGCCAGCTTTAATTCAGACATGAGTGAATTAGACACTACTTTTTATCTGTAACTCATTTTTTCTGTAGCCTAACATAAATATCACACTGCTTTACAGACCTGAATTTTTCTAAAATGGAATCTAATCATGATATTCTCCTACTTTAAAATATATAATACCATTCTAATACCAAAAATAATAAACACTAAATCTCTTGGTCATTTTTTCCCTAATAAATGTATTTCATAAAATGCTTAGAGGCAAGAATGATATACACAATATTTACACAGACTAAGATGTAGCTAGTAACTGATCAGGACCAGCTTACTGAGATGATGCACTAGCATATCTGTGATACTTCCTTCCCCTATTCCCAAAACAGAATTAATAAGCCTTCTGAATTGACACACAAAATTATACACATAAACTTGGGCAACAGCATTCTTGATTGAAAGCTGAAAAGTTGAAAAGCTGGTGATGCATAGCTATGATCTCAAGTCTTGGTTCTCATTGCTTCTTTACACGCTTAACAATTTTTGAAGACCACAGTTAGAAATTAAAACTGGAAATCTTATTTTAAATAAATGATTTAAAATATCAATCATACGTCTATTACATGTTAATACATTTTTATAAAATATGAATATGAATACAACTTTATAAAATACAGCCATCTTTTTTAAGACAGTAAAAATTAGTGAAAAGTAGCTCTCTTTTACATTTCTAAATCTCTTTAATGTCTGTCTTAATAGAAGACAGCTAGATTTTCATTTACTCCTGCATTCAATCTGTAGTGATGTAGCTTTTTTATTTACAAAAGAATGAGAATGAGGCAGTCAGATTATTTTGTTCTAGTATTATTATAAAATTAGTTTTAAGCTTGCAGAGATCCTGAAAGTTTAGGGACACACAGAAACACTGAACCACACTTTGAATCCTAGCATGGAGCCATATACAGGAAACATGTTACTTATTTTAAATATATGTCTTGGAAGGAAGCTTGAAACCAGCATTTCTTTATTAAAGAATCTGTAAAAACAAAGTTTGAAGATTTGACCTCAATAATATCAAATTCTGCAATTATTTGTATATGTGTCTTCTTTTTCAATAGACTGTGAGCATCTCACTAGTAACATTTTTTAAAAAATTATGTGTCTACAGCATGAAGTCGATTCTAAGTGAATATTTATTGAATTAATCTTATTTTTCACCCTATTGCGAACATCCATTAAAGCAATTCAAAGCTCTATTTATCTTACTGTGGTTTATAGCATTTAAATGATCAGTGAATGAAAATTCTGAGGGATTATAGCACTTCTATGTGACTATTGCTTACAACAGAAAAAAAATGTTCTAACAAATTCTTACATCTTCTATCTAATCTAGCAAGAAAAAAATAAATTCTGCACTTAGATCATTCAGACCTAGGTTAATTGAAATGGCCTCCGGACGCTTTGGATCTAATTAACTGCATTCTTTTTAATTCTACTTTCGTCCCATGTACTCTCTTACCAACACCAAAGTTGGTTTATTTGTTTTTTTAATATATAAATGTGCTATTTTTTCTGTCCACCTAGTATCCGCATTTCAGAAGAAAATTTAACATACTTTTATTTCTGGGTATAAAAATTATATTGAATTGATACATCACAGAGGCAACTTAAAAGTATTTATGAAATAGAATTTTGTCCAAAACTACAGAAAATTATTTAGTACCCATCATAGTATCCTCATAAGTTACCACAAATAAAATTACTAGAAGAAACCTATAATCAAAATAAATATTCAAACATATGGATACATTATTATAATAATTATTTGAGACAGGTGTTATTGTCTTCCTTTTCATCTTCCAGAGATAGCTTTTGAGCAAAACTGAACCATTAACTATTATTATCTCAATTCCATTTAAATTTGTCCCAAATATTTATATTTCCATAACAAACAAAGTTAAAGGCAACTGAACTGGTCAGACAAAGCTAGGTTGCAATACGATCTTCTATATCTACTATTACATTTACCCCTCTTGCATTTTAGTGTAACAGAATTTGTCAAGTGTTTTTATAAATACTGACACAAGAGAGAACCATCTACTTTGACCTCTTGCCTTTGACAACCTCAGGGTTATCTATAAGCAAGTGCTCAGCAGATGTGTGTAAGCCAGGATCTTTGGATAAGTGGGTGCACTTTCTGAGTTAGGTAAATTAAATAGTGATTCAGTCAAAGATGTAAATATTTGCATATTCTAGGAGTGATAAATAGGTCCTAAATCCAGATAAATGACAGTGGCTAGTTGCTGGCTACTTAAAACTAGGAGGCTCCAGAACAAGCAAAATGAAAAAGCAGTAGTAGTGTTTTACATATTCAGACACTGGTTTATAACTTGACAAAATTCAGATACGATTATGTTGAAATGATAATATGAGGAAACAACATCAGAAATAAGGTGTAGAAGGTAAAAAACAGGAATTGTAGGGTGGCAAGGATGGTTTTCATTTTTTCAGACTAGCTTACAGAGAATCTTGAGTATCAGTAAATCTCAAATGCCTTAAAGGTAATTTGATAGTTAATAGAAACCATTAAAATATTTTAGAAATTTGTCAATTCCTCAACAACAGTATTTGATTAGAATGTTGGCCATGTCTGTAATGCTCAGAATACCCTCTTTATGTGTGTTATTACTTTTTTCAAATTCAGCTGATATCTATCTTCTTTTTATGGACATATTCAATGTCTTCTCTCTTCCTCCTCCAATAAACACAGAAGACAATATCTCTTCTCTCAAAATGTCTGTTACTTAATACACACTTCTATCAGGGCATCTTGGCCATATTTTGTTATTGTAATTGTTTATATACATTTCACATATCTACTGGGGGAAAATATAATTATTAAGTTTGAAATCAGTGTCTGATTCCGGGAGGCTGAGGTGGGAGAATGGCGTGAATCCAGGAGGTGTACAGAGCGAGACTCTGTCTCAAAAAAAAAAAAAAGAAAAAGAAAAAGAAATCAGGGTCTGCTTCATTTTTCTATATTGCCTTCTAGAGTAATTTCCTTAAAAATATTCAATACATATTTATCAATTTACTAAATTACTTTGGAAATACAAATGATCAAATAATTGCCATAATGCAAAAAAGCAGAACTATCATAGCAGACTGTCTTACTCTATTTTGTTTTGCTATAAAAGAATACCTGAGACTTAGAAATTGTTAAAGAAAATAAGTTTATTTAGCTTCAAGTTCTTCAGGCTGAGAAGTTTAGTGGCATGGTTTTGATTTTTGGTGAGAGCATTCATTCTGCCTCACAATACAACATAGAAGGTCAAAGAGCAAGTGGATAGATGTGAAGAAAGGGAACCCTGAGGGGTGTCCTGGCTTTATGACAACACATTTTCAGTACCAATTTCTTGTCTTAGTCCATTTTCTGTTGCCTATAACAAAATACTTGAAACTAGGTAATTTGTAAACAAAAGGAATTCACTTCTTACAGTTATGGAGACTGAGAAGCCTGAGGTCAAAGGGCTGCATCTGATAAGAACCTTCTGGCTGTCAATGACTCTCTGCAGAGTCCTGAGGCAGTACAGAGTATCACATAGTAAGAGTCTGAATATGCCCATGTCCTAACATGCTAGCTCAGGTATCTCTTCTTCTTTTAAAGCCACCATTTCCCAACCCGTAAGTACCTATTAACCCAGTGGACTAATTCATGAATGTAATTGACCATTCATGGTGGGAGAGCCTATATGATCCAATTACTTCCTAAAGTACTCATTTCTCAATACTGCCACATTGGGGATTCAATTTCAACATGACATTTAGAGGGAACAAATATTCAAACCATAGCAAGGACACACCAAAAAGCACTTACATGTTTGGGGTGATAAACCAAATTTTCACTCTTACTGCATGTTTTGGCATTGCATAGATGATTTACGGTTAACTAAGCCCAACTTCCATATCCATGACTACCATCTTTTGGAAAAAAAAAAAAAGAAAAAAACGATAGTTGCAGAAAAAGTAGATAAGCAGGGGAAAGCAAGGTTTTCTCCTTCATCTTATTTGCATGGCTATGCCTTCTGTCTCTTAAAATGCTTTTACAGAAATACACTGAGATACCTCTGAGAACCCATAGCTGCATTTCGTTCAATGCAGAGGTAAACTTGGCTTCTGATGATAAAATATTTCACTTTTTCATCCAATTAAGAAAAATAAAAACTTATTTGAGGCAAATTACACAATATATACATGAAAGAACCACTGTCTAGTTAAAAATCACAATCTCTTTCACATTACTTTAGTAGTTCCTTCATATAAAATTCACTGTTTAATTCTGTTTTAGCTTTCCTTCCCCTAGGCATAGTATAATATCTAATTTGGGGTCCTGGTAAGATTTAAGAATTCAGTTTCTCTTTCATAAATGTGAAACAGATTATAACAATGACTTTATTGTGCTTTTTGACTATATTTTATGAAAGCTGTGTCTTAAACTGTCTACTGATAAAAATAAGATAATTATCATTTAAATGCATAACAAGTATATCATATTTAACTTTCACATAATGTATATAATTTTTCTCAATATTCTGGGCTCCTAGATGATACAACCAATGGAGTGGCAACACCAAGATTGGATCTGAAAAAATCTGCACCATGATTATACAGCATGCTATTCAGTAAAAATATTTTAAAATAATAAAACATTGAAAATTTCAAAAAACAGTGATTTATATTAGTGGAGTGTTAGTGTTCCACATTTTATAAAACTTCCAAGATTCTATTAAGATTTAATTTTGGAGACAAAAAGAAGAACTTGAAAATTATTTTTAAGAGCCAGTTTAAATTCTACATTCTAATAATCATTAAATTTGATGTTAAGCAAGTTGAATTTCTGGTTATTACTACTGTTCCTGGTTGTGAAACCCACACAAACACAGAAACTGGGTTTTACTGTTACGTCATATACATATTGTATACATTAGGCATCCTCTATATTTCCCTCCAGTGACCATTAGTCCCATCTTCTCACTCATTTTTTTCCCTTGGATGAGCATGGCTACTTCTAAGATATTGTTACCTCCATATAATTATAGCCAAATAGGGTCTGCCTTTTTAGATTACTCTCTGGATCCGTTCAATCATTTTCTTTCTTGGATATCTTACAAGTAATAAAAAACAAGTTTATATCTGAAGTTTCATCTTCTCTTACCAAAAGTTCTCTTCCTCCTATTTTTCTTATTTTTCTTAATGTCTCTACCATATACCTCATTTCTCAAGCTAGTCTCTGTCTTGCTTTCATTATCATTGGCAAAAATCTATACTGTTCTGTTTCTTTTTGGTGTACTTTCTTAATGACTTGAATTTTCTCCCCTTCTTATTTCCAATAATGAACAATCTAATTAAATTCTCATGATTGATTGCTTTCCTTAGGGTAACAATTGCCCAACTACTGATGAAGATTCAGTCTTTCCCCATGTCTGCAGTCCGTGCTGTAGGATATATCTATTATCTTGACAATTGTTGGTGCTGCATATCTGCATCAATAATTCAAAATGGATATTCGATTAGGGTTGGTAGAAGCCCTCCCAAGAGGAAATTTGTTTAACTTTTCCTAAATGTAAATTTTTGAAACCTATCTTTTGGCCAGACACAGTGGCACATGCCTGTAATCCCAGTACTTTGGGAGGCTCAGATGGTATGATCACTTGAGACCAGGAGTTTGAAACTAGTTTGGGCAACATAGGCTATCTCTACAAAAAAATAAATAGTTAGCCGGGTATAGTGCAGCACCTGTGATCCCAGCTACTTGGGTGGCTGAGGAGGCAGGATTGCTTGATCCCAGATGGTCAAGGCTGCAGTGAGCCATGATGATATCACTGCATTTCAGCCTAGCGACAGAGTAAGATTCTGTGAAAAAAAAAAAAAAAAACATATTTTCAAAAATAATGTAGTTTTGGTTAAATGACAAACATTCATTTTTAAGGGACTACACTTCAAGTAATATTGTATAAAAGTATCCAAAATTTTGAGGAAGATGATAATTAGCAACATCACAGATGAAGGGAGAAAAAAATACATGAAAGATGTAATAATATCAAAAGGGCCGGAAAGCTAATATAAAAGATTGATATCAAAAATAACTTTTGAGATTCTTGAAGTTTAACAACTGTGGAATGATACAAGGAAAAGTAGTGATAAATGTGGCAAGCTAATTCTTTATTATATTAAACTTCTGTGTAAAATAGAAAAAACAAAATTTCCAATAAGAATAATCATCTGATAACCTCTGTCTACTATTTAGAAATATTTTAATAATTGAAAATTAAAAAAAAACTATGACTCAAACTAATAAAATACATGCATTACAAAAGCCAAATCCTGACTATGTGCTTTAATAACATGGTGAATTTGATGGAATAAATATGCTATGAATGATTAATGTAATTGAATTACATGTATTTGATGTGGTAGTGAATATAGGCAGCTACTACACATTGATTAGAAATAGTCCAATAATATTTAAACAAAAAAGATACAGAATTATACATTAAAAATGATAGATGGTAATACCCTAGAATATGCAAGCATTTTAACCTAAAAATGGAAATGCATGGCCTTAGGTTTCTTTTCAATTTAAGTGTAAG
Source organism: Homo sapiens (assembly GCF_000001405.40). Lineage (NCBI taxonomy): Eukaryota > Metazoa > Chordata > Mammalia > Primates > Hominidae > Homo > Homo sapiens. The sequence goes on from NC_000006.12 coordinate 67,168,895, forward strand.
GAAGAATAAATTCAAAAGATCTATTGTGCATCATGGTCACCATAATCAATACAATAGATTATGAACATTGCTAAGAGAGTAGATGATAAGTACTCTAACCACAAAATTCATAAATATACGAGGTAATGCATGAGGTAATTAGTATTATTTAGCTATTCCATGTGTACATATTTCAAAACATCACATTATATACCAGAAATATATATATCTTTAATTAATTAAAATATTCAGTTTAAGTCAAGTGTAATTCTTGGATCCCAGTCTGAACTTACGTCTCTCATATACCCTTTCATTCTATACTAGCCCTTTCTTTTGTCTGCTCCAAAACTAAATTCAGCTGAGGCTTCACTGTTGCTATATAGCTCATTGGTCATGGAGGCCTCGTTCTAACTGAACTGCTATACACAAGACAGTGAAAATCTTACACAAAACATAGCACAACCAATCAATATTGTATGATTGAACTTGGACAACAAGTGGATGATACAGGGAAAGTAGCGATAACAATGGCAAGCTAGTTTTTTATTTCATTAAATGTATTGCTTTGTAAAACGAAAAAGAATTTCCACGAAGAAAGAATTATATATTATTTCATCCATTTGTCTCAGGCATTAAAACCCACAACCTCCCAAGATTAAACCAGGAAGAAAATGAAAACCTGACAAGACCAATAGCAACTTCCAAAATAGAATCAGTAATTAAAAAAACTTGCCAACCAAAACCAGTCCTGAAACAGAGGGATTCACAGACAAATTCTACCAGATGTAAAAAGAACTGATACTAATCCTACCGAAATTATTCCCAAAAAATCAAGGAGCAAGGATTCCTCTTTAACTCATTATTTGAAGCAGGCATCATCCTGATATCAAAATCTGGCCAAGACACAATGAAAAAAGAAAACTTCAGGCCAATATCCCTAGTAAACATAGATGCAAAAATCTTCAACAAAATACTAGCAAACTGAATACAGCAACACATCGAAAAGTTAATTCAACATGATCAAGTAGGCTTTATTCCTGGGATGCAAACTTGCTTCAACATATGCATATCAATAAATGTAATTCACTATACAAACACAATCAAAACCAAAAACCAAATGATCATCTTAATAGATGCAGAAAGAGTATTTGATAAAATCCAGCCTTCCTTCATGATAAAAACCCTCAACAGGCCATGCACTGGAGAAACATACCTCAAAATAATAAATGCAATCTATGAAAAACACATAGCCAATATTATACTGAATAGGCAAAAACTGGAACCGCTTCCCATGATAAGTGGAAGAAGATAATAATGCCTACTCTTACCATTCCTATTCAATACAGCATGGGAAGTCTTAGCCAGAGCAATGAGAAAGAAATAAAAGGCATCCAAGTAGAAGGGAAAAAAGGTCAAACTATCCCTCTTTGCAGATGACATGACTCTATGTCTAGAAAACCCTAAAGACTCTTCCAAAAGGCTCTTGGAACTGATATACAACCTCAGTAAAGTTTCAGGATATAAAATCAATGTACAAAAATTAGTAGCATTTCTATACATCAATAATAGTCTAGCTGAGAGCCAAATCAAGAGCACAATTCTATTTACAATAGTCACAACAAAAAGATAAAATATCTAAGAATAGAGCTAACCAAGGAGGTGACAGATCTCTACAAGGAAAACTAGAAGACCCTGCTGAAAGAAATCAGAGACAACACAAATAAATTTAAAAACATTCCATGCTGATTTGGAAGAATCAGTATCATGAAAATGGCCATATTGCCCAAAGCATTGTACAGATTCAATATCCTTATACATATACCAACATCATTTTTCATATAATTAGAAAAAATCTATCCTAAAATTTGTATGGCACCAAAAAAGAGCTCAAATAGCAAAAGCAATTCTAATCAAAAAAACAAACAAACAAAACAAACAAACAAAAACAAAGCCAGAGGCGTTGCATTACTAAACTTCAAACTATACCATAAGGCCACAGTAACCAAAACAACATGATACTGGTACAAAAATAGACACCTAGGCCAATAGAATAGAATAAAAAACTCAAAAACAACCATCTGATTTATTTTTCACAAATAAACAATGAGAAAAGGACTTTTAGTCAATAAATGGTTCTGGGATAACTGGCAAGCCATATGCAGAAGAATAAATCTGGACTCCTATTTCTCACCATATACAAAGATTAGCTCAATATGGATTAAATATTTAAATAGAAGACTTTAAAATATACAAATCCTAGAAGAAAACCTAGGAAATATCCTTCTTCATGTTGGCTCTGGCAAATAATTTATGACTAAGTCTCAGAAGCAACTGCAACAAAAACAAAAACTGACAAGTGGGACCTACATAAGCTAAAAAGTTTCTGTCAGAAGAAAAGAAAATAATCCTTACTAATAGGTTAAACTGACAGCCTAAAAAATGGGAGCAAATATTTTCAATCTATGCATCTGACAAATGTCTAATATCCAGAATCTATAAGGAAATTAAATCAACAAGCAAATAACCAATATTCCAATTCACAAATGGGCAAAGGGCATGAACAGACACTTTTCAAAAGAAAACGTACAAGTGGCTAATAAACATATGAAAAAGTGCTCATCACCACTAAGCATAAGGAAAATGAAAATCAAAACCACAATGAGATAGATACCATCTCACACTAGTAAGAATAGCAATTATTAAAAAATAAAACATAGCAGAAGCTGGCAAGGCTGTGGGGAAAAGGGACCACTTATACAGTGTTGGTGGGAATGAAAATTAGTTCAGCCACTATCAAAAAAATCTGTTCAGAGATTTCTCAAGTAACCTAAAATAAACCTACCATTTGACCCAGTAATTTCGTTACTGGTTATATATTCAAAGGAAAAATAATTCATTCTATCAAAAAGACACATGCACCACAGAACTATTCACAACAGCAAAGAGATAAATCAATCTAGCTGTCCATCAATGGTGGACTGGATAATGAAAACGTAGTATATATATATGCCATGGAACACTACATAGCTATAAAAAAGAAAAGAATCATCTCCTTTAGAGCAACATGGATTCAGCTGGAGGTCATTATCCTAAGTGAATTAATGCAGTAAGAGAAAACCAAATACCACATATTCTCACTGATAAGTGGGAGCTAAACATTATAACATGTAGACATAAATATGGGAACAACAGAAAATGGGGACTACTAGATGGGGAGTGAGAGGGGTGTGTGAGTTGATTAAACACTTATTGACTACTATTATTAGCACCTGGGTGATGGGACCACTCATATCCCAAACCTCAGCATCAAGCAAAATGTACTCATGTAATAACATTGCACATGTACCACCTGAATCCAAAATAAAAAAAGACTTCTGTTCAAACAAAACTTGGTCTGAAAGAATAAGTATGCTTTACCATTGTCAGTCACAAATGTCTTAGCTAGAATTACTTTCTAATGAGATATTAGGGAAGAGAACATAAGGGAAAATCATTTTGATAAAAAGAAGAAATAGAGGAAAGTTGAGACCATTTAGATTAAATCAAAAATCCACTCTGAGATCCTCAGCCAGATGGTTGGATAGGGTAGCCAATGCAGGGTTTTGGGAGTGGTGATGGTAAAAAACAAAACAAACAAATGAACAAGTAAATGTATATGATTAGTTAGAAATGACAAACAAATAAATGTATATGATTAGTTAGAAATGATGAAAGTAGAACCTTATGTGAAGTCTCAGAGTAAAATTACTATAAACATGTTGTATCACTGTGTATGCCAGGTTACTTTGCACTTTGTAGCATCATGAAATGAATAAAATATTTTGACTCATTTTTCATACAAAGTATGGGATTTGAGCAAAATAATATCTAAGGTTTTTTTATTACATATTTATTTAATAACACATTCATTAATTCATAATTTCCTGAGGACCTACTATGCAAGAAACTATATTAAAAATTTGATATGAAACGTAAATAATTTGTCCTCAGTCCCTTAGTCACTAACAACTGACTGTGGGTAAGTCGTGTAAAGACAGATAATTTTCTCCCATTGCAATAAAAGTGGTAAGAAATAAAAGCGTTAATAATCCCATGGAATATCATTGTAAATAATCATAAACAATTTGACAGATCTATATGTATGTAGTGATTTTGAAGATGGATTATGGTGTGGATCTTATTTTCCATTAATAGAAACATTAAATTGTATGCTTTTACACTAGTAAGTTATATCAGTACCCTAGCTACGAATCACTGTTAAATATTCTTGGAAGGCATGAGGCCAAAAATTAAAATAAGGTAATAATATTATTTTGCGTGGAATACACAACTGAGACCTGAGATTCAGCAGGCATTTGCACTAATTGCAAAGGGTAGAAGAACGAGAAGGAAAAGAAGAAAGAAGGAAGATTAAGAGAGAAAGAGGAGGAGGAAGAGGAGCAGGAGCAGGAGGAGGAGGAGGAGGAGAAGCAGAAGCAGAAGCAGAAGCAGAAGCAGAAGCAGTAGAAGAAGAAGAGAAGGACGAGAACGAGGAGACGGACCACCATTCTTAATATGGTGCATAAAAAGAAATTTAACTCCAACTGGATTTTCTACCACTCTTGCTTTTAAAAGTATAATTGATACTACTTAAAAGATTGCCAACATCCCTTTATTTAATGAACATTTACTGATCACCTGTAAAGACAAACTATTTTAAATTATATTTGTGCTGAAATTCAATATTTAATCCGGGTAGACAAATCAACTTATATCCAAATATTCTACTATAATAATAGCAAAATCGGAAAGGAGTAAAAATAGTATCAACCAAATTGCTTTGGGCATATAGCCTTTAAGATGGGTGAAATTTTGATAAAACCTCAGTTATTAATGTACAGAAAATAACAGTAATAAACAAGGGTTCCTTACTCTACTTATTTTGGCAGCTCAACTTTAAAATATATCCAGAGTTATTAAGGTTTTGTACAAAAATCATCCTATATTTAGTAATAACATTTGTGAAAGCAGTTATGCATATTCATTACCTGAAACTTGTGCCTTGTTTTTTATTCATTCACACAGTGAATGAAAAAACATTTAGTCAAATTTAGAACCTTCATCATCACAGGGTCAAATCTAGGTATGCAATGATTTGATGCCTTGATACTTCTGTGCAAAGAATTAAAGAATATGATTTTATTGGAGTCAGACTATATGCTGCTTTTCAAAGTTCTGGTTAGGTGATAGAAACAGTAATGCATTTTACTTTATTTTACATCAGTTTTGTAATATTTTTTCTTGTACTGTCTATGTTGTTTTAACCTAACTAGTAACATTTTATCACCATGTCTTTATAAGCACTTTTGAAATTAAATGATATTATTAATATATTTTAAAAATAGAGTGAAAGTTATCCTGCCTTCTTAAAATTAACTGTCATTACATTTTCTTCAATGAAGACTTTGAAAAATTTTAACTAACTTCAAGTGCCATAATGCTTTGAGGAAATATTAAGGCGTATGGGTCTTTTTGCCCCAGTTGAGTTTATAAATTGCGATTCATATGCTTCTGTTTCTACTCCCTTTGAAAGCTACTTGTTCAGAGTCAATTTCTTTCACTATCTGCTTCTCTCTGCCTTTTAAACTGAAGAGATGGAAGTTGGGCAGATCCGATAACCGAACACGTCAATTCAGCAGGCTTATTATTAAAATAATGCTAAGTAATAGACTCTATTTTGTGGGTAAAAGTGTAACAGTTTTATGCTTCTCTTGCACAAGGTTTGTGATGGCCAGTTATCCGCTGCTTAGAGATATTTTCTGTGATAATTATAGGTCTCTAACTTTGTTCCAGGTGATACATACTGACGGATGTTTGATTAGCAGATAAGTAAGACATGGTCACAGAAAATCAATGGATTTTACAAGTACCAGTGAATTATACATTCTTAATAAATTACGAAGGACAGAGATGAAGAGAATCAGACCCATAAAATTTCTTTAAAAATCAGAACATACATGCTTTGTTGCTTTATCTCTGTTAATATCTTCATTTGAAAGTGACGAGATAAATCATATTGCAAAAAAATGAATAAGGTACAGAAAACTCTGGCTAATAGGATTAAAGAATTATGTTTAGCATATGAATTTATGTATATTTATGTATTTGTTCATATATCTACACCTATATATAATTCATACTGATGGAGTAGGAGGATGCATAAATGGACTCATCTTAAACTAAACATAAAGAAAACTCTGCTTGCAATGATCTGCCTGCTTTTCATTTATCACTGCATGCCATGTTTGGTTTCAGTGGTGACCCTCATAGTTCAGCATGTAGTACTGACAACACTTTAAGCCCATATTAGCCGAGTCACCTCTGCAAGTAGTTGTTTGAATGTAGGCTTACAAATGAAACATTCACTCACTTATAGCCTTTTACTGTCTCTGTCACTCTGCAATAAATAATCCAGTAACTCTTTTACACTCACAAACTTTAATAGCCAAATATAAATGGGCCAGACTTGAAAAGTCTCCTTTGTCATGTAAATCTAAGAAGCAGGCAGTATTTTTAAATGACACTTTCATGTTAATTACAACAAAGTGCAACTAATTTACTTTTTAAGAAGAAAATAAGGGTGGGATTAGTTCAACTTGTAAATAAAATAATACTTTATGATATGACATTTAAATAATAAAATTTATGTACTTTATAACTTCAAATTTAATTGAATAGATATAAAATATATACATATATATATACACACACACACTTTAGTGTTTTTCATAGCACCGTACTTAGTTACTATCTTTTTTTGAGGCAAAGAAGCAAAAGTATGTATTTTATCATGATCATATTAATTTATGTTTTAAACATATCTAGAATAAGTTGATTTCAGTAATTTAAAAATACACTTTAATCTTGATCAAATTTGCTGATTTTTGTTCTGCTCAAATTGTGATTTTTAAAAAAAGTCTGAAAAGATATTGTTTTTAATCTATATATTCTGGACATCTTATTTACATGACTTCTGATTGGTAGGATGGCTCAGTCAATGGAAATTTTAGAATTTGTGGTACTCCTAAAAAAGATATTGTAATACTTGTGAGTTATTTTAAGGTTTATTATAAGGTGTGAAAGTCATATGGATAGAAAAATTTATGTAACAGTAGGTCTGCTTACTTTATCTACTGCAATTTCCCCAGTCTTTTATGCAACTTAATTTTCCCTTATAATTCTATCTATATTTATTCATTATTATGTATTACATATTTATTTTCTGACTCTCCTATTGGCATGAAAGCTGTTTTATTTCTCTATTATATGCCCTATATGTGATTGATCAATAGAATATACTAAATAATTATTAGAATAATGGCAGTTGTTTAACAAAAATAATTAGCAAACAATGACTATTGTGTCATTTTGTCCTCTGTTTTGTTTTGATTCACATGTCTGTGTGTGTATGTGTGTGTGTGTGTGTGTGCATGTTTGTGTGTAGTAACTTGCAGCCAGGAATTTAATTTCAGTGTTGACTTTGCATTTAGCATATGTCTATCAAAAAGAATGTACATCTAGATTACTTTCATAGACACATTTATCTTTTATAATCCATAATTATGAGATTGAAAAACATTAGGAATTTTTGACAGTAGTTTGGAATGATATTAGTACAATGTAAATATTGTAATTATAGTAGTTGTAATTGAAATTAATTCATTCTTTGCATTTGTTTGACAGCTCTTGTTTTAGCTTAAAACACACTAAATAATATGTTTTGCATTAATGGAAAGAGAAACCCTTTATCCTATTCTTTCCAAGCTCATCACAGTTGTTTCTCTTTGATCCAGACTTTCTAGTTATATAATGGTTAAAGATGAATACATTGGAAACTGATAGGTATCAAGATAAAAAATTCAGATAGAAGGAAATTAGAGAGCAACATTCTCCTAAGCCTGTCTTCTTAAATTCTTTTTGACCACCTGTAAGTAGAAGGCACTCTTCAGACGAGCCTAAGAAATGTGTTGCAATAGCTCTACAAGTCCCCTTGGAATTAACTATCAAAAAATGCTAAGGAAAGTCAACAGTAATTCAGTCTGTGAAACCAGGCCTGTGACTTTGAAAGCATTTTCAGTGTTAACGTTCTACTTTTCATGTATTTGAACAGATTCTCTGGGATGTAGTATGAATTTGCCTTTATTTTTTTAAATGGCATTTTCACTAGTGACACCATATAGACAACATACCCTTTTCGCCCTGCTTCAAAAGGGCAATACATTCTGCCATTCTGAAAATGACTAGTGCATTGTGTATGTATTAGTCGAATAAGGTCTGTTTTTCGATATTAGACAAAAATAAGGGAAAATGGGGATTGAGCAAAAGGCTAAAAATATTCATGTGGAATATCCAAGGTCATGCTTATAGTAAGGCAGTATTGACACAGGTAAAAAATAATCCATGACAGTTTAGTTTGAGAAGAAAGTTTTCTCTATTCCATTCTGTCAACTTGAACTACACAGCCCAATTGAATATGTTTAAAATCAAACTAATATTTGGATGACTATGCTGAGGTCCTCATTACAAGAGAATAGGACTGCCACTGATACCTTACTGTGTGTGAGTATGGGTGTAGATAAATATTTAGAAAGTATGTGTATTTATGTATGAAAACACATATGTATACATGTATATACATATGCATGCATGCATGTATATACATATATACATACATGCATGCATGTATATACATATATACATACATGCGTATGTATATACATATATACATACATGCGTATGTATATACATTATGTATATACATACGCATGTATGTATATATGAATAGGTATATGAATCTCTGTGTAGACAAATAATAAATAATAGGAGAATGTAAACGTAATAGGAAGGATAAATGAATGAGAAAAAAGTCTTTGGGTATTATATTCTATTATTTGTACCATTGTGGAAAAAGTTGCTGGGTTTAGTTGTTCTTCATTTAGAAAGCAAAACATATTTATTTATTTATTTATTTATTTATTTACTTATTTATTTTGAGACAGAGTCTCGCTCTGTTGCCCAAGCTGGAGTGCATGGAGTGCAGTGGTGCGATCTTGGCTCACTGCAACCTCCGCCTCCTCGGTTCAAGCGATTCTTCTGCCTCAGTCTCCCGAGTAGCTAGGATTACAGGCCCGTGCAACCATGCCTGGCTAATTTTTGGTATTTTTAGTAGAGACGGGGTTTCACCATGTTAGCCAGGATGGTCTCCATCTCCTGACCTTGTGATCCACCCTTCTTGGCCTCCCAAAGTGCTGGGATTACAGGCTGAGCCACCACGCCCAGCCATCTCATTTATTATTTAAGGATGATTGACTAATGAAAAGCCATGCCCCCAATCAGTATCAATTTATTCACATTTTAAAGCAATGTTTGAAAGTATTAACTCAATTCTACCTGTTTTGAAATGAGAAATTTGCTGAAATCGATTTGATAATCCCTACTTACTAAAACACAGGTTGAGAAATGATTTCCCACATATCTGTGTATTACATAGCTTCTAATTTAATGTTGATGACTTTGACAGCCTTCTAGAGATAAGAAGAAAATCTTCATTATTTAATATAGTTAGTTCTTTGCTTGTGTGTGTGTGTGTTTCCTTGTACATGAACATAATCTCCATGACAAAAAGTAGAACAAGAATTCCATATGCTATTTATATTTATAAACTCAAAAAACTTTTATGAATATACATTTAAGCTATCTTTTTACTATATAATTAATTGAAGCTAATTATTATTATTATTATTATTATTATTATTTTGAATGATTTGTCATTTTAGGCATCATACTAACATATGTTTCTTCCGTTTTATTTTATTCTGGTTCAAATTATATGATTATCTCATGCTAAATAGATCTATTAAAATTTTCTTCCTACACTTTGAGAAATTCCAAGGCGAAACCATAGAATTTCAAGATTAAATCCAATGCTGTCGTAATTTAATTTGCTTGGTTGTGACCTTTATTTTTAAGGATAAATTTTAGTACTTTCCTGTCATGTAAACTTTTATTTTATTAAATGTAATTCACTAAAAATTGAGAAACAAAATATTATTTGGAGGTACATAATTTGTATATTTTTATTACAAATTTCTAATAATTTTTGAACCAAAATTTAGACTATTATTTAATTAGATGTTTTGTTACCATTGTAGATCATTAGTTATTTTATGAAGAAGTTTTTAAAGTCTCAAATGTTTTTGAAATTCAATCAATGTTAGGCAGCACAAAGAGAATGTACAATCTCATATAATATAGTATATTTTCTATTCAATATCAGCTTTGTCCAAAATGGTACAGTTCAGTGACTCAATACAGGTGAGTTTGTAAATTTGACAATTACAGCACCAAACTCTTTTGTCACACTTATTTTAGACATAATTTTCAAGTATGTGTGTGCCATAACCCAGTGCAACTACATTTCTGGTCCGTAAGTTTCTTAACAAGAAACTTTTTACCACAATGTTGTATTTTCTAAAATTTATATTCATTATAATAATATCAATATAAAAACAAAAACATTATCTTAAATGTCAAGTGTTTAACTGAATTTACATCAGTGTCAAATGTTTCCCAGTGGATTTTCAACATTTTGCTTTAATTTTTCAAATTTGAGGTACAATTAAAATTAGATTTTGGTGTGGGCTGCCTCTTCTTCTAGGGATGATATACAAATATATTAGACTTTTTGCTCTTGTCCCAAAATAGATCAGATTTTGATTTTACTTTTTTCATTTGCTTATTTTATCTCATATTTATGCTTAATATTTTGTAAATTATGAATTTATTAGCAGTCTTTAATTACCTTTGCTTTGTTTTTATTGTCTTGCACTTTCCAGAATCCTGGTCAATTAATATGTTAAAGTAGTTGTAACTTTAAATGTCACTTACTTGTTTGTGAACAGCCAAAGAACAATGTGTATAGTATTTTCCCAGTATATTTAATCAGCCTCAGTCTGTAGAGATTGAGTGGAGTAGAATTTTTTATTTTAATACCCATATATTTCATTCATAAGGATGTAAGAAAATATTTTCTTATCAATTAATACATTAGTTTCAGTAAACAAATAGAATTTACATTCTATTGGGCAAATAAACCTAAATTAACTTGTCAACAGCAAGAATGGTTGTTAACAAATATAGCAGTAATTCAATTGCTGAATGAGCAGTGACTCTAAATATTTTTTAATTTACTATTATTGTTATTATTTTTTTAAAGATTGGTTCTTGCTATATTTCTCAGGCTGGACTCCAATTCCGGGGCTTAAATAATCCTCCTGCCTCAGCTTCCCGATTAGCTGGCCCTACAGGCACATTCCGTAGCAGCCAGATTGACTCTACATTCTATAAAGAAACTTATACCATTGCTTTTAGATTGACCTCATCATGGCATGTGGCTCAGTGCCTGTTTAACCACAGTGAGCTGAAGCTCTTAGCTGCAGTAACTATGTTACAGAAATTAGACTAATGTGAGTTGGCCGAGAAAGAGTGAGTTCATCATGTTATCCATGGTGGAGGGGGAGGGGGTTGGGGGGCACTCAGATGTGGGGATTCTGGACTGAGAACTTTGAAAGGTAGTGAGAACTAGGGAAGACATAAAGTTAAAAGGCCTGTAATACCAAGATTTATATAAATTATTTATTTTGAAAATAAATTAGTGTTCATTTGCACATTGTTCTGAATATCAATATTAGAAACCTATTAAGCTATGATAACGCCATCTTTGTCAAGACAACTCATATTTGAGAAGAGATTAATCAAGACCAAGTAACGGGTACTCCTTTCCACCATCAAGTTGGCATTTGCAAAAGCCTCTTCTTAGCTAGGTTGGAAATGAACACCGGGAGGAGAAATTTAATTCCTGAATCAAAACTCCCCAATAACTAAGGGATCATAGAATGATTTATTTTACAATGAAGTGACTATATTGGCTTTATACATCAAACAGAAAGAGGGCTTAAAGTCAGAAAATAAATTGAATATTGAAAAAAAGTAAAGTTATATTTCTTTGCACAAACAAGGTAACTATATATATTTATACTCATTGCAATTAATCAACTTTCCTTATTCTAAAATGCCTTAGATTGCAAGATAATTCATGAATTTACTTACTACTATGTTAAATTTGACCTGAGCTGTAATATGCATCTCAATTTTAGTAACTTTACAATGTGAAAAAGAAGAGATATAGAATTTTGAAAACATAGCATTTCTTTGAACATAAAAAATATGTTGCAAGTCACCCAAAGGGAAATTTATCTTTACAAAACTATAATTATTGTTGATATTATTAGTATCTAGGTAGGGGTGTTGCAGCTTTTTTACTCCTGTAGTTCAGCAGGCAGCAGTGTTAAAGCTCTTTTACTCCCACCACCATACAGCTTAGCAAGCAGAAGACTTACAGCTTTTTTGCTCCTACAGTTTGGCAACTTCCAGGTTCTTGTCCTGTGACCAAGAGGAATAAAGTATGCAGATAGTGGAGGCAGGTAAGGCAGAGTAGAATTTATTGAGTTAAAGAAAAGACAGCAAGAGGGGACCTGAAGGTGGATAGCCCTTTTTGAAGCTGATTCCTGTTTTATAATGAGCTTAGAATGGGAGAATGTGTGCTGATTGCTCTTTGGGTGTCCTGGAAAAGGCACCATTCATGGGTTAAAAAGCATAATGCAGAAAAAAAAAAAAACAGTTAAGAGAGAGTGAGTAAGACGGAGATGGAAGTGCTCACTCTGGTCCATGGATTCTATCCAGAACTGATAACTCGGTTTTCAGGCTTTAGGCTGTCCTTGGCTTGAAAGTTGAGTTTCACTGGGGATCCATCCCTGTCTGATTAGGAATTTGTCTGTCTTAATGTTGCTATCAGGGGCAGTTACAGCAATGTTCTTATTAAACTTAATAAGTTATAGTAAATATATTTAGGAAGCTTTTATCTTAAAATTGCATTGCATTGAAACAATCTGAGACTAGTTAAGTTTAAAGCCATGAGAAAGAGCAATAGAAGTTTTCTCCGTATGTGCTTTAACAACCATGAATTGGATTTACCACCTTCTCAATTATTTGCTTATTAATCATGTGTTTGGTCAATCAAAATACATGATTAATAATTTGCATATGCTGTTTCATTAATTCTTTCAGATATTTTACTTCATATATGAGGGAACTGAGACTTACAGGATTTAAAAATTTTGTCCTAGAATCAGTAGACAGTAAATAAACTTTATCTATGTTACTTAATACCTATATGAATTCTATTTTATTCTACCAACTTTTGTGATCATGCTTCTTTTTTCCTTAAGAGCAAAATTCAAATTATCAACAGGCAGCAAATCTCTGCATAAAGTGATTGTGTCTATCTACTTTAACCAATCAATGATTTTTTGTTGTATACTGAAGATGGTGATATATCTTGGTAGCACGTATAATGACATCAGCCACATTCAATAGAATAAAAAGAAAATTCTATGCCAGAGATTCAAAATGATAGATACATATTCAGCTTCTAAAAACCTTTTGATTAAAGTAGTTGGAGCATGCTACACTTTTTAATTTCAAACAAATGTAAAGTGAAAGAAAAGATGAACTGGTCAAAGTATGTGAATTAATCCCAAAATGAATTTACTTTTAAAATTGAGTTTTAACATAATTGATCAACTCAGCATTTCTCTGCTAACACTGGAGCATTTGGAAGTCATATAAACAAATATTACCATTTTTTTCCAAAGCCCTTTGTAGTACACTTATACATGACTGCCTCCAAACCCCCAAAAATCTCCTTACAGTGTGCTTAGTTAAAGTTAACAGGCTCATCATGCCATTCTATATACTTATTCACTTACACAGTTGAATGATCACTTATGCTTTCCCACCAAAAAGTTGAATCATCACGTCAACAGATTTAATTTAGCTGCAAACTATTTCACTGAAAATTTCCACCTTCAAATCTTTGACCAGTTTGTTTTGTACAATTCACTCAATCTATTCTGTTTCACTTAAATCATATGTGTTCCTGCTAAATACCTTTCCTTTTTGAAAATTGTTGACTGTGGATTTTGTGTTTTCACTACAAAAAAGGATAAGTATGTGAAGTAATGAACGTGTTAATTAGCTTGACTGAGCCATTCCAAAATGTATACATATTTCAAACCATCATGTTGTACACAATATGTACACTTTTTGTCTGAAAATTTAAAAATGAATGTTGAAAATTCCAGAATTTTTAATTGCTGTATGATTTGCCCTTCCTATTAATTATTGCACATAATTCAATACTCTAATCATCTTTAAATATGCCCATTTCTTGGTTTCAGGAAGAACAAAAATTTCTGAATTTTCCTGTATGATGATATTTGAATGTATTTGTGGAAGAAACTTTTAGTGTTTCCCCAGTTGTATCACTGAATGTCAGGGATCAACACCGCCTCATTTATCCTCATCCATGGGGTTTTACTGCTAACAAAATGGGGATAAATCCATTTCCATTTCCCAAATTCCATAGTGAAGGCTTACTTTCTGGAACCTCTCTTTGCACACGCCTGGTCTCTTAGCCTGGGTCTGTGGACAGCAGAGCCTAAGGCACAAGGTTAAAATGCCATTATTTTATTAAGAAATGAGCTCCAAAAAGCAGAATTGAGAAAGAGTGGGAGTGTGATTTCTTCCATCATTTTATGTGATTTCTATGTCAATATCACTGATCATTCCTATATAGACTTCTTCATTCCATTACCTTCTTTGCACCATTATCTCCATTGTAGTTCAATAGCCTTTTTCCATGTACTCACCCTAGATGCAAAATTGTATGAATGAAATCTAGAATTTATGTCAGCCCTTCAAAGGGACCCCAAAACAAAAATGTTAAGGATGCTCTAGATCTGTGCTGTTGAATACACTAGCTTACTAGCTACACATAATTATTTGAATTTAAATTTAAATTAATTAAATTAAATTAAATTTAAAAATCAGACCCTCAGTCCCTCTCGAGTTGTTTCAAGTTCTCAGTAGCCATATATGGCTATTTCTATTCCTGCACAGAGTTCTATTGGGCAACACTACTCTAGATTCTGCCAACTACTTAAACCTTGAAGTCATAATCTTGAATGCTTTATTTTCTCACCAATTTTTTCATCTTTCCTCATTTTCAACTGTCATCTTATATTTTATCATGAATTTAGACTCCCCCTAATGGTTTTTAGTCTTCTAGGCTCTCCTATTTTCACATACCTCTCAATGTAGACTAGAATGTGAGCAGCTACTATACCTTTAATTGATCTAATTTATTTATTGTCACACATCTTACCAACCTTCAACATTGAATTATTTAATTAATTAAACGCTTCAATCAGTATTTATGGATAGCCTACTCTGGGCTTGAGAATAAACTGGTTAAGAACATAGTGGCCAATGAGACAGGTGAGAACTCTATTCTCATAGAACTTATCATCTAGGGAGTGAAAATAGATACCAAATTAATACAAGTAAGTGAATGAATGCATAAAAAAAGTCATAAAGTGATGACACCACTATGCATTATCTGAAATAAAAAGACATGGGACATTTATTGCCTCTGGAGAGATATATGCTAATCAGCTGCAGTCTCCTTGAAGACAGCAGACTGCTGATCTTATGTACTGTTAAAAGGAAATGAGTTCAGTGGTTAGAGGGCTTTTCGGGATATAAGAGAGTCAACATAATCTGTGTAAGCAGTGAAGCATGGTTACTCAGATAAGGTGATTGTTCATTGTTTGCCACTCAGAGGTGAGATTATTAGACATAATTCATTCCAGTGGTCTTTCAGAAGCAAAGGGTTGCCACAGATTAGTAAGCTTGCTAAAGCATGCTAACTGAGATGGGTTGTCACTGAATGATTAAACAGACTTTGATGGCCACTTGTTGCTGTGGAAACACTCCGTCTTCCTCTAAGTTTGTAGAAACTTTTAAATTCTCAGGCAAAGGAAATTCCAAAGTGTTGGTGATTTCTGATAGACAATTCTCTACTAGATTTTCACGTGTCTGTTTATCATCTGCGCACAAGTATTGGAAGTTTCCTTTATATACTATCGTTTCAACCCTATATAGCAAGCCAATATGGGAAACAGAGTGTCTTTCTCCAGAGCAAAGGACAGATTTTCTGCCCTCCAAAATAGTTAAATAATGTCTCCTTCTAAGTCAGGTTTCAGCACATTTGCCTGTAAGGGCCTCTTTAAAGTATTGAGGTTTCCTAAGATTGGTTTTGTGAGTATGTTTTTTGTTTTTTGGTTCTAATTTTTAATTTTGGCTTTGACACAAACCTACTGCTTGTGTGGCATCCATCTGGTGTTTCCACATTGTCCTCTCAAGGGGAATAAATGAAGGCATGAAGTTCATGCTGCTTGATCTGCAGTAATAAAGAACCTTGTCTCTGATCCAGATTTCTCTGCTAACAACCAGGAAACTATAGCAGGTTTACTTGATAGTTTGCCACTAGGGAAAAGTCTCAGGATATTCATAGTTCTTGGCAATGATAAGATTGAGTGGACCAGCAGAGAAGATTCTATCATAGGTAGTGAGCAAGGAGTAGCCTTTACAAGAATGTGATATTTGAATTGTGACTTAAATCTATTCTCCCTATTCCTGCTCTCTCTGCTGAAAATAATAATAATAATAAGAAGAAGAAGAAGAAGAAGAAAAGTTAAAATCAAATAAGTTGACAAGCCTCTTATTAGAAAACTGCAAATTCAAATGTATAATTGTTTTGTTCTGGTTAGTTTCCCTCCTTCCTCTTTTCCTATTTGGTTTCCTAATCGAAACGCTGGTATTTCTTGTGAGCTTTTTAACAAACTTAACTCTGAAACAAAAGAGAACCCAGGGTTTTGAAGGCTTTGAAATTTGCACTATCTGGGGCTTTGCTTTAAGAAATAATATAAAATTAGTCAAAGTGCCTTACAATAAACCTGTGGAAGTGAGGAATCCTGAAACTTAAGATTCATTAGCTTCTCTGTGACATTACCTATGCCTGTATTACAAGTTGACGGCTTGCATCCTGTTTCGAAAAGAAAACAATAAAGAAAATAAAATTTTTAAAACTCAATATTTTACTACCAGGTTAATTAAAGGGAAACACATTTTTAATTTAATATATTTTCATTTTATATCTTAAGTCACTACAGCTTTATGTATTAGCACTGCTTTGAAACTATTATTTATAAAAGCCATCAGAAACTTCTTAATTTTTGTTTAGATGTATTTGGATCTGCTTTTTGGGCCTGAAACTATTTATCTTCACAAGTAACAAATGCTTCCTTTAGAATTAAAATTGGGGTCAGTCTCTTTTTCTGCATTATGTTTCATTAATTATTCATTTACATGTATAGCACTCCATTTATACCTAATTATATATTATATAATTATAATTATAGGTAGAGACTGCCTGTTGTTTCCATTTATATCCTCAATATCTTGCTAACTGCTTGCCCAGTTATCTATCATATCAGTAGCCATTATATGTTACTAAACACTTGGAAGATATGGTTTTTGTGAATACAAATACTTCAATTCTTTACAGTTCAAATAGTTAAGAATCCACACATTCATTTATCTTATTTTTTCTATTTTCATATTAAATAAAATATTTTAATAATAAAAATATTTTTACACATCAAAAGTATCAGTTTCAGAACAAAAGTTTTTTTAATAATCAAAATTTGATAAGATTTTAAACTCCTGTTCAAACCGGCAGTGTAAAATTTACTGAACGTGAGGTGTTCAATATTCCAAAATTATGGTTCTCAGTGACTAGTCTCATGACATAAATGAGAGATTTCACTTCTTTTTTGAAATTATCTAAAAGGTAGTAAATCATGTATTTAAAATATGAAATAGTGGCCAGGCATGGTGGCTCATGCCTGTAATCCCAGCACTTTGGGAGGCTGAGGCAGGCAGATCACTTGAGGTCAGGAGTTTAAGACCAGCCTGGCCAACATGGTTGAAACCTCACCTTTACCAAAACAAAAACAAAACAAACAAACAAAAACACAAATTAGCTGGGTGTGGTGGCATGCACCTGTAGTCCCAGCTACTTGGGAGTCTGAAGTGGGAGAATAGCTTGAACCCGGGAGGTGGAGGTTGTAGTGAGTCAAGATAGTGCCACTGCACTCCAACCTGGGTGACAGAGTGAGATCCTGTCTCAAAAAAAGAAAAAAAAAGAAAACAAAAAACGTTCATATATAACATATTAACCTTTAGTATCATTGTTTAAAACTTATTAATGATAAATATCATATTTTTATTAGTAAAGTAACTATTTCCCAGGAATTATTATGTGCTAAAAGGGTTATTACTTTTAAACATTTTATAAAGTAGGTGGAGTAATAGTGCTTTTTTCACTCTTATGCTATGTTAATGAATCTATGCCTCAGAAGAGAATAAATATCTCAGAAGATTATGAGTCATTTTATGGCAAGATCTGTGTTTTATTTATCTTACTGCCTTTTACACATAGAGTCATTAGATAATTTTGTATATTTAATTGCAATTGTCACCTGCTTTTCATTATTTAATTCATTAATATGTGCACAGATGATTGTTTTCATGAGTAAACAAGTATGCCAATCCTGACAAATATCATAATAAAATTATAGCATGTGTTTTTATTTTTCTCTCAGGTGTTGGGAAGAAGATATTTACATTCCATATTTTGTAGTTAGTGTGAGGCTGATCTATATAAAATATGATAAATTACATTTGTTGGAGAAATGTAATTCAAAACAGTATCATTCCTGAACTCAGAACCATCTCCCCAAGAGTAGCAGAGAAGTAAAACACTTTTATTACTGACTAATATTTATAGTAGAATATAATGGGCATCCAAGGCAATATGCTCAGATAGCAAACACAGAAACAGATAGCACCCTTACATATAGCCAACCAGATACAACCCATTTCATAAATGTTTCCAAGATAAGCAATAACTAGTCTTCATTAAGATAACATGACAGCACCATTTTCACGCAGACTTGATGCCAGGTTCATCTAGTAATTATAGTGACCATCTTTGTCAGCTAACTGGCTTTACCAAGAGTATAAACAAACTTCTCTTATCTTTATAATGAAAAGGTAATTTTGCAAGTTGGAGCAATAAGTTCACCAAAGTTGGACTCCTATCTCCATACAGAAAATTAGACGTAGGGGTGTTATCTCCCTTGATGTTTACCTTTCAAAGAGATGGTACTTAAGCTTTAGAGAAAGGTATTTCTGGGTCAACATAAAGCTGGCTGGAATTTTATAACATTTTGAAAAGGATTTACATTCATTTAAGGAAATGTGACATTCATTTCAAAGAAAGGAAAAATACTTAAAGCTACAAGATTTTTTAAGTATATGCTCTGAGAAAAAAGGGAGGTGACAAGAAGTCAATTCCCTTATTTTCACCAGGAAGAATTAAGCCTCCTATTTAAAACTTTTATTTGTCTTTATAACCTTAACACATACTAAATCACACACAAGAATAAGAGTAATATCATGACATGCCTTACAAAAAAAATGTTTCAAAATTATTACTAGAGGTTTTTGAAATTTGTACTATGAGTTTTTATAAGCCATCGATTTCTAAAATATTTTGACTATAACTTTAAAACTAACATTATTCTTAGTAAAGAACCACGTCCACACATTATTTATTTATTTATTTTTAATCAACTAATGACCTGGCACACAACTAGTGGACTCATGGAAGTCTGAAACCCTATTTTAAAATTGCCAACCTTAGTCCCAGCTACTCGGAAGACTGAGGCAGGAGAATTGCTTGAACCCAGGAGACAGGAGTTGCAGTGAGCCAAGGTCTTGCTACTGCACTCCAGCCTGGCTGAGAGTGAGACCTTGTATCCCAAAAAAAAGAAAAAGAAAAAAAAAAGAAAACATTACCAATCTTTTTGATGTTTCATGGAAACCATGTTGAAGTTGTGTTTCCTTATACATTCAGAGAAAACTTTTGTCATGCATTTTATAGATTCTAGCCAGCCAAGAAATAACATAAATTCTGTGTTAAGAAGAAAATAATAAATATTGAATCAATTAAAATATATTAATAATGAGTTTAAAATACAGATAGTCTGGTTAGAAATGGGGAATATTACAAATATTGACATTGTGTGTGGTTAGAAAATATGGAGAATTATATATGTGCTATGAATAATTTCCTAATCATTATTAGCAAAGAGTTAATTATATTCAGTCTAGGTTGGATGAGAAGGACATGATGGCACACACATATTATTTACATTATGAAGTTATCTAGGAGAAAATATAAAATTAAAATTGTTACCTCACTCCTAGTCCAGGAAGACGTGTTGGTATAGATAATTGAATATGCAATGAACTACTCTAGTTTTTTTATTCTTTATAGAATGAGACATAAGAAATTCATAGTTTTTAAAATCATGAATGAATATAACTCATACATTTATAAAATAGCTAAAGCACTTATAAAATACTGTGTGTCATGACTGTATTAAATGCTTTTCACATACTGGCCATCTCATTTATGAAAATTGAGGCAAATATTTTCAATAGAATTAGCAAATAAAATTCAATGTTACCTATCAGACTAATTTTCAGACAACTATTTTTCAATCAGTAATAAGACTGGAATTTTGCTCATTTTTAATAAAGAAAACATAAATTTAAATAATATATACATATTATCTTGAGTTTCCAAAAAACATTTGACAAAGTTATATATATATAAAACCATATATGTACATATGTTATAACCATATATATACAATTTAAAACCATATATATCTAACCATATATACATATATAATCATATATAACCATATATGCATATATGTATAATGTATATATGTATGTATACATCATATATATGTATATAATAATACATAACCATATATGTATATATCTAACCATATATACATATATTATATTTTACATATATATACATATATGGTAATATATATGGTTTTAAATTGATGTTGAGTTTTGTCAAATGTTTATTTGGAAACTGAAGGTAATTTTTATATATATTTTTTCAATGCATATATATTATATATGTATATATAAATATAGTGTCATGTTCTTAATGCCTTAACATGAATGATTAACGATAATAAAAGAAGAAAGGTATACAATCTAAAGCCCCAAATTATGAACATCCACAATTATTTAATGTTTGAAGGCAAAAGTCAATGAAAGAGAAATTACAAATAATGAAAATAAGAAACAAAATTATCATTAGTTACAGATACCATATTTAAACGTCTGAGTTGAAGATAATTGCTTTAAAAATCTCTGAGAAACAATAAAAAGACTCCATTATTTCTAAGGTGAAAAAGGTTTCTCGTATAAATTTTATCATTACAAATCTGCAGGCAATCAAAGTGTCTATCAATGGGCAACGAATATAATAAAAGATTAAAAGATGATGTACATCCATTAGGAAAAAATAATTTTAGGAAAAGTTTAGGGAAATTAATTATGGAAAATTATGAATTATAATTATGAATGTATTATTGTGTATATTTTGGAGGAGGATTTAAATATTTGCAATGTTCTTCGATTTGAGGAGACATGTTCCATTACCAGTATTTTAATACTCAATTTTCCAATATAAACTTGAAAAAATGTTTATTCTCCTATACTTTTTGTTATATTTTGTCTCATTTCTTCAAATACAGTTACTTAAATAAGTAATATTCTAGTACATTTAAGTTTTTTTTTTCAGATTGCTTTTTTACAACACTTTACTTTTACCATAATATATAACTCAGATAATGGTTGCCAGATCACCCAAATATGCAAGAGAAAATGGAAGTCTGGATTTCATGTCAAATGTCTTATTTTTAAAGAGTATCAACTTAGTCAACTATAAAACAGTGTCTGAGCCAATACAACTTTTTCTTCAGGACATGCTTTCTCCTCACTTGTAAAGGGGTTGTAATGGAGAATTAGGTAAGAGTCTATAATGAGCTATGTTATGGTAAAGTTAGAATTAATAAAGAGAAGTTTCAGTTTTAAGATGTACACAGAATATGAAACCAGTAACTGCATTTAAGGGTAAGAGAAAGAGGAAATTCAAGAATAGGTATCAGTGAAGTTTCTATATTAGGTAACAATACTAAATGAATTTAAAATATACCCTCAGATGATTAGGTACATTAACTCAGCTTCAAAGAAAAACATGAATTAGAGGAACCAGTTTGGGCACCAATACTGTCTGAGTAGTAAATGGAACAATGAGGGAAGATGAGGCCTTCCACGGAGATAATGCAGATTAGTTACTAGAAAGAATGATAGAAGGGCTGGGAAAAGGAGTTTAAAAAGATAATACAAAAGTGCCATTAAGGTGAAGTGCTCCAGGAGAGTTTGCCTTCAGTGAAATGGAAAGTATAGAACTGTAAAAGTGCACAAGAGATTTAGTAAAATACGCCATTTGAAACATTGTCGGCTGGATTTTATCAATTGAGAAGTAAATGGGAAGGAGGCACATTTGGAAATACATAAACATTTTAGTTTGTGTTTAGTTTTAGTTTGATTTGCTTTGACTGTTTTACCTTTAGACCTAGGATACGAAGCTATTTGAATGGAAAGAGATAGCAAATAGAAACTTTTTCAAAAGACGAAAGGGGAATCCATTTGCAGGTAAAAAGTCAAGGTAAGGAAATATATTTTGAGTTAAAATCCATCCCCTCTAGATTTACACTGTAACTCTTACAATAATGTATCTGTTCTATTTAAACCCTTACCAATAAAAACAGATTGTGTGGGTTCACTGGGAAATTTTCATTAGATTAAAATAAAAATATATAGGTAATAGGTTTCTCAATGTCAACAGAAAATATAAAGGAGGTGTTTTGGAAATTTTCAACATTAATTTAGCCTATCAAAGGGTATGTTTTGGGCCATAGTGTTAAGTATGTCTTATCTATCATAAGGATTTCATTAATTAGAAACATATTTCAAAATCTTTATTTCTATACAGGCTTATTCAAATATCACTCCAAATGGAAAAATTGTATTTAAGTTATACACAAGTAGGAAAGGTTTCTGTTTTTTCTCAACACCCCCTTCGCTTTCTACTTCAATACTGCTTTACTCTTGTGAAGAATTCATACACTTCAGTTATGCAACATTCCACAATTCATTGTATTATCTTCAATGAGAGTGATCACTATTTATGCCAAAGCTGAAGCTTATAGTTCTTTACGTTGAAAAATGTACTTCAATATTTCTTCTGACTTTGTTTTCTTTCATTTATATTATTATTCTGTCATTTTTATTCAGCTGAAAATAGTGACTAAAGCTGAAAACTCCTTTATCCAGCCCTTTCATCATTCTTATGGCTTACAAACACATTTTTGATATTTTAGATACATTTAAATAACTCAGTTTTGAAGATAACTCAATCCTTATTAATACTTATTGAAGAAAACTTACTTAGAAAATGTTTTTGCTTTTTTAAAATATTCACAAGACACACAGTTGTCAAACAAATTTCTTTTTGTAGCATGATAGGCTTTATCAATAACAAGAAAGAGCAAATCTAATTTAACTTGACTCCAATAATACAGTTACTTCTCTTTCAAATGACACAGTACTGTTTTTCCATTGACAGAACTGCATGTGGTTTAGATAATGTTATTGTGTAGGAACTTTGCTCGTCAAGAACCTAAACATAGTGATTAACAATTGGTAATTTGGTACTGATTTAGGGGAAGTTTAGTGTTCTTCCGCCAAGCTTCACCTGATAAAATCTAATATTTTTGGCAATGGCTTAGGAAACAGAATTTCAAAACTTATGTGTACTCTAGTTATCGAAAATTTGAGAAATTAAAAAAACAGCATTAGAGTGGCAAAAGAGCATTAAGAAGATTTTTTAAATAATCAATGCAGGTATCATCTTTTCTGAGAAGCCATACTGACCCACGTTTCTCAAGGTGGTGCCTCTCCTAATGGGTTCATCCAGAACGATGTGTTATCTTCTATCTCTCTATTTGATAAACTTAAGACTTTATATGTCTGTGCCCCCACTTGAATGGCAGCTCCTGGAAAGTCGATAATGTGTTATAAATATATGAATCTTCAAGAACTTATATAATATTTGAAGTTAATAAATTTATATTGAATGAATGGAATATGCTAACATTTTATATAATGTTTAGCCGGAAACATTTATTAATTAAATGGAGGAAGTAATTTAATAAAGATTAAAGTTCAAGGCATGTATGATTTTTATTAAGTTATTAGAGAACTTGAGTTCAGGAAAAAGCAGAGCAGTAGGTATATGCATTTGAATTTTCAGAGCTATAAGCCTCTAGAATGTGAGGACACATTATGCATTCATATATTTAACAAGTAATTTCTTAGGCACTTGCTATATACCAGACTTTATCCTAAATAGTAGGGGACAATGTACAGAACAGAGATATCCTGCCATTCCAATACTCACATTCGAATAGATAGGAAAGACCATCACAATTTAAAAAAATAAATGGAGTCTATCACTGATGGGCATTTGGGTTGGTTCTAAGTCTTTGCTATTGTTAATAGTGCTGCAATAAACATATGTGTGCATGTGTCTTTATAGTAGAATGATTTGTAATCTTTGGGTATATATCCAGTAATGGGATTGCTGGGTCAAACGGTATTTCTGGTTCGCGATCCCTGTGGAATCGCCACACTGCCTTCCACAATGGTTGAACTACTTTATACTCCCACCAACAGTGTAAAAGCATTTCTATTTTTCCATATCCTCTCCAGCAACTTTGTTTCCTGACTTTTCATACACCATGGAGTACTATGCAGCCATAAAAAGGATGAGCTCATGTCCTTCGCCAGGACATGGATAAAGTTGGAAACCATCATTCTTAGCAAACTAACACAGGAACAGAAAACCAAACACCGCATGTTCTCACTCATAATTCGGAGTTAAACAATGAGAATGCGTGGACACAGGGAGGGGAACATCACACACTGGGGCCTGTTGGGTGGTGGGGGCCTAGGGGAGGGATAGCATTCGGAGAAATACCTAATGTAGATGACAGGTTGATGGGTGCAACAAACCACCATGGAACGTGTATACCTACGTAACAAACCTGCATGTTCTGCACATGTATCCTAGAACTTAAAGTATTATAACAATTAAAAAACAAGTAAACGGATATGTCAAAAAATGGGAGAAACTCAAAAAGAAATTGGTGAAATTTTAGATTGAGTAGTCAGAATGTCCTCTACATCAATGACAACTAGCAGAAACATAAGTCAATGTAACAAGTTGTACAAATATCTTAAAGGAGAACATTCCAAGAGAGGAAAAAGCCAATACAAAAGACCTGAGATAGGAGTCTACTTCACACATTTAAAGAGTAAGGAGGTTAAAGCAGATAGCACATAGTGGCCTAAGCAAAAGTAGAAGGACATCAGGTTTGAGATATCAGGTTCTACTGTAGGTGACATCTTAGAGGCTCTGTGAGCATTGGGGTTTAATGTCAAGTGTATTGTGAGTTCAAAAAGAGTTATGAGCAAGGTTTGATATGATCTGCCTTATGATTTTCAAAAATCTTTAGTTTTGTGGAAAACAGGCTTTTCCAAAAGAGGATTTAGTTACAATGTGTTTGCCAGAGTTCAGGTGGCTGGATGTAAATGGTAAAGGTGAAGGTGACGAGAAACAGCCAGATTCCATATGTATTATGTTAGTTCAGCTGAATCAAAGTGCAAATTCATTGGATAAGGACATGAATAAGGTAAATAAGTGATGACTCCATACGTTTTGACTGGAGTAACTAGATAAGTTTTGATAAGTATTATTCTTGTTCCCTTATTGGTATCATGCTGATCTCCCGGTTATGAACATAGAGCTGAAGATGAGATTTATTTAGCTTAATAAATGACAAAAATGTTTAACTTCTTACTAAAAGTTTTAGCTCTAGAAAGGAATTATCTTATTAAACTTCTGTGTTGAATTATGTAAAACGTCTGAATTCAAAATCTTGGCAGCTTTTAGTACTGCAAATTATTTAAAGAGACATCCAGATTCCATATGTAATATGCTGGAAGAGTTGAACCAAGATGCTAGTTAATTGGATAAGAATATGGATAGTATTCATATTTATGCATCCAAAATTTTATAATGCGTTAAGCCCAATATTTTTTATCTCTGATTTTGTTTCCAAAAAATTTAACATAACATTTATATTTTTTAACTTAGATCTTAAAAGTCTTAAAAGAAGAAAGGAATTGTGTAAACGAAAGATACAGATGTTTACTGATAGCCCTGTTAAATATGTAATTTTTAAGTCTATTATTTCCCGTAATATTGATTACCTGATAATTATATTAAAACTACCATCATGTCCTATTCAATATATCCTACTCTCAAAGATGAAGTTTATTAAATTAAAGATAATTGTAAACTATTCTCAATCTAGTTGCCAAAAAAACAGAAATAAAATTATAAAAAATTAAAGGTATAGAAAATATTATAGTCAAGCAAATTTTGAAGAACAAAGCTGAAGGACTCACACTGCTAGACTTAAAGGCTGATTCCAAAGTTACATTAAATGGCTGGGCGCGTTGGATCACACCTGTAATCCTAGCACTTTGGGAGGTCGAGAAGGGCGGATTGCCTGAGCTCAGGAGTTCGAGACCAGCCTGGCCAACATGGTGAAACCCCGTCTCTACTGAAATTCAAAAAAGCAGCCGGGTGTGGTGGCAGGCACCTGTAATCCCAGCCGCTCAGGAGGCTGAGGCATGAGAATTGCTTGAAACCAGGAGGCGAGGTTGAAGTGAGCTGAGATCCTGCCACTTCACTCCAGCCTGGGCAACAAAGCAAAACTCTGTCTCAAAACAAAACAAAACAACAACAACAACAACAACAAAAACTGTCACATGAATTTAGAGAGTGTAAGACTGGCACAAGAAAAGATAAAGCACCAGAGTGCGGAGGGAAGGGTGGGTTGGCATGAAAGACAGAGAGCCTAGAAACAGATCCAAATTACACCATGGCCGGGTGTGGTGGTTCATGCCTGTAATCCCAGAACTTTGGGAGGCCAAGGCGGGTGAATCACGACGTCAGGCATTCAAGAGCAGCCTAGCCAACATAGCGAATCCCTGTCTCTACTGAAAATACAAAAATTAGCCGGGTGTGGTGGCAGCCACTCTTGGAGGCTGAGATGGGAGAATCACTTGAACCTGGGAGGCAGAGGTTGCAGTGAGCCGAGACCACGTCACTGCACTCCTGCTGGGAGACAGAATGATACTGAGTCTCAAAAAACAAGCAAACAAAAATACATTTTATAAATATATATATATATACACACACACGCACACCATTATATATATTTATTGTATATACCATTATATATAGTATATATATGTACATAATGGTATATATATATATGGTATATATAATGGCATATATATAATCTTATATACATATATAATGGTATATATATGTATATATGTTATATATACGTATATAATGTATATATATGTATATATATGGTATATATACCATATATGTATATATGATATATATACTATATGTGTATATATGGTATATATACTATATATGTGTATATATGGTATATATATGGTATATATATGGTATATATACTATATATGTATATATGTGGTATATATACTATATATATGTATTCTTTGTTAAGAACAATATGTATTCATTGTTAAGGCTTTTCCTGCAGAAACCCCACCAGACACTCACAGGAAGCATCTTAAAGACCCTTAAATGTCCATAATGGTGCAGAAATGAGTAGTGAAACAGCAGTTATGCAATAGGGGGAAGAAACACTGCCCAAATTTTTCTCTACCATCTTCACTATGAAACAAAAACTTTAATTTCCAATGGTCCATGCAGTAGCACTACTGACCTTAGGACATTGTTAAACTCCTATTGTAACCAGTAGAAGGAATCAGGAAGGGGCTAAAGATCTATTCTTAGAAGAGGAGCAGTATTACACACTCAACCCATAGCTACAACCAGGAAAGGGGCAGAGAAGGCCATACCACCAAGACCCAGGTACATGATACTGGTCTAAAACTAAGCCAGAAAAAACAATCAAACATATCTACCTCCTGCTTCTCTAACATCTTGCACTACCCAACTAACAGGCTTCAAATAAATAACAACAAAAATTGCTGAGAGAGAAATAAGCAAGGAACAAGAGTATGCAAGGACTGAATCTGAGGCACAAAGGAAAAACATGTAACTCAAAATCTAACAGAAATTGACCTTGTAAGCTTTACTCCGCCTTAGGCAAGAAGTAGCTTTACAGGAATTTGAAAATGTTGCTGCATTTTGGGTAAATAGCAACAGTAAATTTTAAATTTAGAGCAACTCTTAACCAGATTTACATTAGCCCCCACATCAACATTCTAAACAAAAAAAAATAATGCCTTCATCTCCAGGCATAAAACCTATTTACTGCAGTCTCTACTCTTCTACGTAGTACATCTGCATTTAAACAAATATTGAGGCATGTGAAAGACAAGCAAAATCACCACAATCCTAACAGATTAAAAAAAAAATCAGAATAGAATCAGATATAACACAAAAGTTGATATTATGTAACAGATAATGTAAAATAAATATAGTTAGTATATTAAAGGTTCTAACAAAAAACATATACAGCATCCAATATCTGATAGGCAAATTCAGCAGAGATACAGAGCATATAAGAAGAAATCAAATGGAAATATTAGAAATAAAAAAACAGTAAAGAGATGAAAAATGTCTTTGGTAGGATTATCAGTAGAATAGATACAACCATGGAAAGAATAAGTGAATTTGAAGGTAGATTAATAGAAATTACCTAAAATGAAACATAAAGAGTAAAAAAGAAAATTTTAAAAAGAACAGACATCTAAGGGCTATGAAACAATATCAAACCACCAATTGTGAGTGTAATATAAATCCCAGATGGGTAAAAGAAGGTAATTAAACTGCTGAAAGACAGCAAACCAGAGATGTATGAAACTAGAACAATAAACATGATATATACCTCCCTCAACCCCCTCAAAAGGAAACACACATGCACACAGACATACACAAACTTACCTAAGTACATTACACATCGTATTTCTACTGCTGAAAATCAACCACAGGTGAAAATCTTGAAAACAGGCAGAGAACGAAGACACAATACCATCCTATAACAAAGATCATATTTCCAGCAGTCTTATCAAAAACCATGCATGCAGAAAGTCAATGTAATGATATCATTAAAGTGCTGAAAGAAGAGCAGTCAACCCACATTACTATAACCAGCAAAGTGTTCTTCAAAAGAAGTAGAAATTAAGTTTTCCTTAGACAAAAACAGATTCATATGTTGCCAGACATAGTCTATAAAAAATATTACAGGAAGTTATTCAGAAAGAAGGAATATTATATGTCAATAACTTTGGAAATAGAGTAGATGTAGGTAAAACGCTTTTTTCTTATTGTGAATTGCTCTAATGATAATGGACTGTTTAAAGCAAAAACGTAGCAATGTTTTGTGTGCTTATATCATCTGCATAAGTGAAAAGTATGAAAACAATGGCATAAAAATAGGAGAAAATACTTGGAATTTTATGTAATAAGGTCATTACACTGCAAATAAAGTGATTTAATATATTTCAAAGTAGACTCATCTAATATTCATACACTAAACTCTAGGGAAACCATTTTTAAAGTCAAAAGAATTGTTATATAAAATAAATAAAAGAGATACAACTTAATAATAAAATATTCTTAAATCCAGAGAAGGCAGAAAAAAATCAATAAAAGGAACAAAGAACAAATAGAAAATAGCAAAGATAATAGTTTTTAGTTCACTATATTAATAACCTCTTTAAATATGAATGGTCCAAAAGACTAATGGAACTCATTATTTAATCCTAAATGGCAGATTACTTCTAATATTAGATTTACTATTAATCCCAGATAATGAAATATTGATTTAAGTTAGTTCAAGATTCCTTGACCTGAAATGAGGTAGGTCCAACCCCAATCTGAGAGGGTGAATAATGACTGAGCAAAATTACTACTGTTAACCTCAGTTCCCTTAACTGAGTTCTTACTAATCAGACATGACAGAATATCTGCTGGAAGGAGTCTCCCATGACAAAAACAAAAGCCAAAATCATTTTACTTTTTCTCTATCTTCTTGCCTAGAATATTAATGTGTGGCATACTGCTGGATTAGATGAGCCACATTATTTGATTTGTGTTATTTATCAAGAAAAGCACCTACAGTTGGGTCCCTACTGAGTTGCCCCTTTATTGAAGGAACATGGTAGGAGATTTACACCAACTTTGTCATAAGCCTTAGTGGAGAACTGCTGGTTTGCTAATATGATGAAAATAATAACAGACTAGATTTTAGAAAAAAAATACTCTTTTGGATATTATACTAAGGGTATTTTATACCCAATTTCTTCAAATTTCTACAACTTTCTGAATGTGCAAATGAGAAGACTGAAGGTCAGAGAAGTTATATAACTTCCCTGAGGAAACACAAATAGTATATTAGAAGCTTCCTCCCTCCAGCCCTTTCCATCATATTTGTTTCTTGAATTAACAATTGCTGGTTAATAAAATAATGACATTTTAAAAAATAATATTTGAGTGAGAATGACGGAAAAAGACAGGAAGCCTGTTTTTTGTTTTAGGTTTAAACATAAGTACGTATCTAAGCAAATTTGTCTTTATTGGCTCATTGACTCACTCTAGAGTGCAAAGTTCGGAAGAAAAATCCTACAGCACGTAAGTGATGTTGCCTGAGTTGTCTACTATGTTCATTTTATTTAGGACTTCAGTTTGTTTTCGGATTCCTGATGGAAAATTTGTGGATTTCAAATCGTTTAATTACTTTCTCTCAAATGCTACATTGCAAGGATTAGATTTTTGTTAAAAATTATTATTCTATTTTTCTGAGAGGTTTAGAATCCTGAAGTACAGTGATAATTTGTGTAGTTAAAAAAAAATCGAGCAATTTGCATTCAGGCAGAACTTTGACTTTCAGCTCTGCCACTTACTAGCTTTTTAACTTTAGGATTATTAAATAACCTCTGTT
Organism: Homo sapiens; assembly: GCF_000001405.40. NCBI lineage: Eukaryota > Metazoa > Chordata > Mammalia > Primates > Hominidae > Homo > Homo sapiens. The sequence continues at coordinate 67,199,965 of NC_000006.12, forward strand.
GAAGAATGGCATCTGTGCCATTTTAATAATTTACAACCTATTTTAATTCTCCTTATCCCTCCAAAGTAGTTAAACCAAAGTAAGTAATTTTAAACATTGGACACTTAAAAAGTGGAAAATGCCTGTTAATCAAGATAATAGACTCAAAGGAAAAAAATAGAAATGACCAGAATATCCAGACTTTTTTTTCTTATTCTACTGCTTTAATCCCAGGTCAGACAACTCCTATGAGTATATAAATTTGCATCCCTTTGGGAAGGATAGTTCTCAAAATAGTTGTAGTCGATGATTTCTTTTAGATTTAATTCAATAGCTAGGATTTGTATCATTTAATTCATGAAAAGTGTTTATTTCAAGATTATTTAAATTTATATACAGAATTACCTGTATGCAACTGAAACTGTCTTCATAATTTTCCAAATCCTATGATCAGATACTCACAAACATAACTTCATGTTATGTTTCTAGGTCCAAATTCTGTTCTCTGGATTCAAGATGACTGAGTAAGTGCATCTGAAGAATGTCTCTCCGATGGAGAATAACCAAACGGAGTAGATATTCACACTTTAAAGAGATCGTTGGAAGGAACACTGGAATTCAACAGAGTGGTGATGGGACACACTGAGGGTGAAGGAAGAGGAAAGCAGGGCTGCCAGCTTGGGGTTGCTGGGAGCCAAAAGCTGTCCCTGGACCCAGAGAAGGGGCAAGTGCCCCTTTCATAGAGCCAAGGAGAGACCCCTGGAGCTCCACATATCTGCCAGTAACCTTTATAATCCTGAATACAAGATACCTCCCAGATCCCCACAGGCCTCTAGACTAGCGTAGGGAGCTACCTAGAGATTGTGCAGAGGCTCTGCTCAAACTCTCATGGAGTACCACAGGCTTCCAAGTGCTGGGTAGCTGCAGCACAAAGCCATACCGGGACCCCACGCCTGAAGGCTCTGCCTCCTGCCCTGAGGCGGCTGCTGCTGCTGCTGCTGCTGCTGCCAGCTGCTGGGTCAGGGATAGGAGAGGCTGGGTGCTCTCACATGCCCTAAGTACCACTGCCACTACTGCATGCTGCTGGGTCAGGGATAGGAGAGGCAGGGTGCTCTCACATGCCCTAAGTACCACTGCCACTACTGCATGCTGCTGCCGGAGCAAGGCACATTCAGACCATGCTCCCCACACCGTCTGAAATACCCCAAAGCTGCCCACATGATCATTCCCATGTAGATGGGCCTGCCCTTCCTGCTGGCAGCACTGCAACACAGTGGCCATTGTCCTGCCTGAGTGTTTGATTGGTGTCCTGGGACCAGCCTGCCATCTTCATCACAGCCAACACTTGAGTCCAAGGGTCTCAAGGACAATTTCTCTGGCCTGGTCCTATCCTCCTGAGAGTCAGGACTAGCTGGATTTCCTCTGCCGAGTAAGAATCCCTAAGCCTAGCTGGGAAGGTGATTGCATCCACCTTTAAACACGGGGCTTGCAACTTAGCTGGCACCTGACCAATTAGGTAGTAAGGAGAGCTCACTAAAATGATAACTTGGCTAAAACAGGAGGTAAAGAAATAGCCAATCATCTATCACCTGAGAGCACAGGGGGAGGAACAATGATCGGGATATAAAGCCAGGAATTCCAGCTGGCAGTGGCTACCCTCTTTGGGTCCCCTCCCTTTGTATGTGAGCTCTGTTTTCACTCTATTAAATCTTGCAACTGCACACTCTTCTGTTCTCTGTTTGTTAGGGCTTGAGCCGAGCTTTCGCTCACCATCCAACACTGCTGTTTGCCGCCGTCGCAGACCCACCGCTGACTTCCACCCCTCTGGATATCGCAGGGTGTCGGCTGCGCTCCTGATCCAGCGAGGCGCCCATTGCTGCTCTGGATAGGGCTAAAGGCTTGCCATTGTTCCCGCACAGCTAAGTGCCTGGGTTCATCCTAATCAAGCTGAACGCTGGTTGCTGGGTTCCATGGTTCTCTTCCATGACCCACCACTTCTAATAGAGCTGTAACACTCACTGCATGGTCCAAGATTTCATTCCTTGGAATCCATGAGGCCAAGAACCCCAGGTCAGAGAACAAGAGCCTCCCCGCCATGTTGGAAGTGGCCTGCCACCATCTTGGGAGCTCTGGGAGCAAGGACCCCCAGTAACACTCCTAGGACTTGAGCATGCCTTCTGGGGCATAGAGATGAGATTTGTGATCTGATCTTGAGTGGAAAAAGAGCCCCCATCGTCAAAACCAAGAGAAGAATGTGGCATGGGCCAGGCGCGGTGGCTCACGCCTGTAATCCCAACACTTTGGGAGGCCGAGGCAGGCAGATCACTAGGTCAGGAGATGGAGACCATCCTGGCTAAGACGGTGAGACCCTGTCTCTACTAAAAATACAAAAAAAATTAGCTTGGCGTGGTGGCAGGTGCCTGTAGTCCCAGCTACTTGGGAGGCCAAGGCAGGAGAATTGCTTGAACCAGGGAGAAAGCGGTTGCAGCGAGCCGAGATCGCGCCATTGCACTCCAGCCTGGGTGACAGAGCGAGACTCCATCTCAAGAAGAAAAAAAAAAATGTGTGACATGGATTCATGCTGCAGCATGGGAGCTGGGTGCCCCTCCTTTGCAGGACTGGACCAGGAAGTCTATAACCTGAGGGCTGGACAGGGAGTCCTTCATCCTGGAATGGCATCACAATCGGAATGCAGACTGCTTTGGAGTGGGCTAGCTGTTCTAGCATGCTGCCAGTGGCAGATGCCAGAGAAGACCCTCCAGTTTGGGGGTGTGGAAGGTGGGTGGGTCCCATGGCCCTCTACTGGGCTGTGATTCCTGACCTGCCCCTCTCTCCTCCATGAAGGCCCTTTGGTGTGAGAGAAGCACCTCTGCCTCTTCCTGAAAAGATACCCCAGTGCCCTGAGAGCTGCTTGCTATCTCCTATGAAGGTCAGTACTCATACCTGCCATTGGAAAGCCTAGATACAGGATGGTTCAACTTGGCCCAACTTGGCTGTGTTCCCTCGACCCACTTCAGAGGCACAGCATGGGAAAGAAAACCCTGGGTTCTATGGTCCTTCCCATCACCTGGTTTATTCAAGTACTTCCAATTTTTACAGATCACACATAAATCTCACTGCTACCTTCTCAGCTGTCTCTCTCCTGCAAGCACCACTTACTGGCTGGGAAGATGACCTGCACCACCCAATACAATACCTGTTTTCAGAAGTGCACAGGGCTGGGAAATGAGATAAGCTTCCTAAGAAATCCACCTTACCATCTCTGCAGGAGGCAGTGACTGTGCTCACATACCCAGTATACCACTGCTACAACCTACAAACAACCAGCATTTGAGAAAACCACCATACTAAAACTATCCATAACCAAAGAATTCATAGAGCCTTGGTTCCCTGGAAGCACTCAGAACCAAAGCCAAAGGACCCTACCAAACATACACTAGAGTCACACCCTCAAAGTAGAGGCAATCCCTCTCGAACAAAAGCAAATTCAAAAATAAGTAGTAGTATCTTCTCCAGATGAAAAGGAATCAGCATAATAACTCTGACAACATGAAAAATAGACTGTTTTGATGTTCTCAGAGGATCACACTAGCTCTTTATCAATGGCTCCTAAATAAAAAGAAAATTATAAAATGACAGATTAAGAATTTAAAATGTGAATTGTAGGGAAATTCAGTGAGATCAAAGAGAAACTTGAAAAGCAGCACAAAGACATTAGAAAAACCATTGAAAATATGAATGAAAAATTCACTAAAGACATATTTAAAAAAAATTTCTGGAAATAAAAAAAAAATTGAAAGAATTACAAAATACTGCTGAAAGCTTTATTTATAGGCTAGGCAAAGCCAAAGAAAGAATTTCAGAACTTGAAGACAGGTCTTTCAAATTAACCCAGTCAGATAAAAATAAAGAAAAAAAAATGAACAAAGTCTTTGAGAAATACGGGATTTATGTAAAACAACCAAACTTATAAGAGTTGTTTCTGAGGGATTAAAAAAAGTAAATAGTTAGAAAGTGTATTTGAGGAAATAATTCAGAACAATTTCGCTGGTTTTGCTAGAGATTTAGACATTCAGGTGCAAAAAGCCCAGAGAAAAATAATTTGTAAGATGAACTTCACTAAGGCATATAGTCATCAGACTCTCCGAAGTTAATGTGAAGAAAAATATCCTAAAAGAAGCAAAAGAGGCCGGGCGCGGTGGCTCACGCCTGTAATCCCAGCACTTTGGGAGGCTGAGGCGGGCAGATCACGAGGTCAGGAGATCGATACCATCCTGGCTAACACGGTGAAACCCCGTCTCTACTAAAAGTACAAAAATTAGCAGGGCATAGTGACGGGCGCCTGTAGTCCCAGCTACTCCTGAAGCTGAGGGAGGAGAATGGCGTGAATCCGGGAGGCGGAGCTTCCAGTGAGCTGAGATCCAGCCACTGCACTCCCGCCTGGGTGACAGAGCGAGACTCCGACTCAAAAAAAGAAAAAAGAAAAAAAAAAAAAACCCAAAAGAAAAACATCTAATAACTTATCAAGGAAATACCATTAGACTAACAGTAAACTTTACAGCAAAAATCTTACAGTCCAGAAGAGATTGGGGTCCTATTTTCAGTCTTTCCAAAGAAAAATTTGTCAGCCAACAATTTTGTGTCCTGCTAAACTTAGCGCCATAAATGAAGGGGAACTAAAGTCTTTCCCATACAAGCAAAGGCTAAGGAATTCCACACCATTAGACCATTCATAGAAGAAAAAAATTTTCAAAGGAGTTCTAAACATTGAAAAGAAAGGGCAATACTTGCCATCATAAAAACATGTGAAAGTAAAAAACTCACAGATCTTATAAAGCAGTTACACAATTGGAACTACGCAGCATCTAGATAACAGTTAATATTATGACAGTAAGAAAATCTCAGATAGCAATATTAATCTTGAACATAAATGGACTAAATTTCCACTTAGCAGAAATACACTGATGTAATAGATAAAACACAAGATTTAAGCATATGTTGCTTATAAGAAACCCACGAAACTAGTAAAGTCATTTGCAGACTAAAAGTAAAGAGATGGAAAAAAGATATTCCATGCACACAGAAACCAGAAGCAAATGGGAGTAGCTATACTTATATCAGAGAAAACATTTTAAAACCGCAACAGTAAAATATTTTTTATATATATGTACATATATGTATATGTATACATATAGATATGTATATAGATATGCCCTCTACACCAGAGCACTCAGATTAAAAAAATATATATTACTAGACCTAAGAAAAGAAATAGACAGTTATATAATAATAGTGGTAAACTTCAACCCTCCACTGACAGCACTGGATGGGTCATAGAAGCAGAAAGTCAACAAAGAATCTCTGGACTCAGATTGAACTCTAGATGAAATGAACATAACAGATATTTACAGAACATTCTATACAACAACCACATAAGATGCATTCTTCTCATCTGCACATGAGGTATTTTCCAAAATACATCAAATACTAGGCCACAAGGCAATTCTAAATTAATTTTAAAATACCAGAATCATATCAAGTATCTTCTCAGATCCCAGTGGAATTAAACTAGAGATCAATACTAAGAAAATCTCTCAGAACTGTACACAAAAATGGTAATTAAACAACTTAGTCCTTAATGATTTTCGGGTAAATGATACAATTAAGAAATAAAAAACAATTTAAATTAAAGAAAATAAAGACTCGCCATATGAAAACCTTTAGGATACAGCAAAAGCGATTCTAAAGAGGGAAGGTTATAATGTTAAATGCCTACATCAAAAACATAGAAAGGTCCCACATTAACAGCCTAACATTATACCTCAAGGAACTAGAAAACCACAGTGAACCAAATATAAAGTTAGCAGAAGAGGAAATAATATAATGTTAGCATAGAACTAAATGAAAGTGAGAACAAAAAACAAACAAAATGAAAAGTTTGTTTTTTGAAAAAATCAACAAAACTGATACATCACTAGCTAGATTAACCAAGAAAAAGAGAGAGGTGAATCAAATAACCATCATCAAAAATGATAAAGGTGACATTAAAACGGATACCACAGATACAAAAAAATACTGTCAGAGACTACCATGAGCATCTCTATAAACACAAGCTGTAACACATAGAGGAAATTGACAAATTCCTGGATGCGTACAACCTCCCAATATTGAACTGGAAAAAATATAAATTCTGAACAGACCAATAATGATTAATAAGTTTGAATCAGTAATAAAACTTTTCCCATCAACAACAAAAAAAGCTCAGTACCAGATGAATTCACAGCTGAATTCTACAGATGTACAAAGAAGAACTGGTACCAATCCTACTGAAAATGTTCCCAAAAATCAAAGAGGAGAGAATCCTTCCTCACTCATTCTATGAAGCCCATATCAACTTGATACCAAAGCCATGCAAAAACAAACCAAAAAAGAAAAAAGAAAACTACAGGTCAACATCCATGGTAAACATAGATGCAAAAACCTCAACAAAATACTAGCAAACTAACAGCACATCAAAAAGGTAATAATACATCACAACCAAATGCATTTTATTACAGTGATACAAGATTATTTAAGCGTACGTAAATCAATAAATGTGTTAAGTCACATAAATAGAATGAAGGAAAAACTATATGATCATCTCAATAGATGCCAAAAAGCATTTGATAAAATTTATCATCTTTTCATAACAAAAACTATCAATAAACTAGGCATAGAAAGAATATACCTCAAATTGATAAAAGTCATGTACAAAAAACCCACAGTCAACATCATACTGAATGAGGAAAATTTGAAAGCAATAGTGCTAAGCACTGAAACAGAAAATGATGACCAGTGTTACCAGTCTTATTTAATGTAGTAGTGTAAGTTCTATCTAGAGCAATCAGGCAAGATAAATAAATAAAAAGCATCCAAATTGGAAAGGAGGAAATCAAGTTATCTCTATTCACTGATGATATAATCATATACATAGAAAATACAAAGACTTCCTCCAAAAGACTCATAGATTTGATAAGTGACTTCAGTAGAGTTTCAGGATACAAAATCGATGTATGAAAATCAATAGCAATATTGATACACCAATAACATTCAAGCTGAGGGCAAAATTAAGAATTCAATTCAATTTATAATAGCTACAACAAATAAAATACCTAAAACACCTTTAACCAAGGAGTTAAAATAGTTCTACAAGGAGTTCTACAAAACACTGCTGACAGAAATCATAGAGACACAAAGAAATGTAGAAATATTCCTCACTAATGGATTGGAAGAATCAATATCCTTAAGTTGGATATAATGCCCAAAGCTACCTTCAGATTCAACAAAATTCCTATCAAAATATTAACATCATTTTTCACAGAATTATAAAACATCTTAAAATTCATATGGAACCAAAAAAGAACCTGAAGAGACAAAGCAATCTTTAGCCAAAAAAAAAAAAAAAAACAAAGCTGAAGGCATCACATTCACTAGACTATACTGCATCCAAGCCTTTAATAACCTAAACAGCATGATAATGGTATAAAAATAGACATATAGATCAATGGAACACAATAGAGACCCAAGAAATAAAGCTACATGTGTATAACCAACAGATATTGGACAATGTTGACAAAAATACATGGTGGGGAGAGGAGATGCTATTCAATAAATGGTGCTGAAAAAACTGGATAGCCATATGCAGGAGAATAAACCTGGACACCTATATTTCAACATATACAAAAATTAACTCAAGATGAATAACAGACTTGTATGTAAGACCTAAAACTATAAAAGTCTAAAAGAAAACTTAGAGAAAACCCTTTTGGACATTGGCCTAGGCCAAAAATTTACAACTAAATCCTCAAAAGAAAACACATCAACTCCAAAAATCTACAAATGGGACTTAATTAAACTATAAGGTTTCCATACAGCAAAAGAAGCTATCGACAGATTAAATAGACAACCTACAGAATGGAAAAAAAAAAAGAAGTATTTGTGAACTATGTACCTGGCAAAGGACTAACATCCAGATTCTTCAAGAAACTCAACTCAACAAGGAAAAAACAACCCCATTAAAAAGTGGGTAAATAAAATGAACAGGTTTATTAAAAATAACAACAAGATATACAAATTACCAACACCTTATAAAAATGCTCAACATTAATAATTATCAGAGAAATGTAAAGTAAAACCATGAAGAGATACCACCTTATGCCAGTCAGAATAGCTATTTTTAAAAGTCAAAAAACAACCATTGCTGGCAAGGATGCAGAGAAAGGGGAGTGCTTATACTTTGTTGGTGGGAATGAAAATGTGTATAATTCTATGGAATACAGTACGCAGATTTCTCAAGGAATTAAAAGTAGAGCTACCATTTGATCAAACAATCTAGTTACTGGGTATCTACCTGATGATTGAAAAACTACCTATTGGGTATTATGCTAATTACCTGGGTGACAAAATTATCTGTACACCAAACCCCAGGTGACACACAATTTATCCATGCAACAAACCAGCATGTGTACTCCTGAACCTAAAATAAAGGATGAGAAATAATTTCTACTAGCCACAATAAAAAATAATGATAAAAAGAAAACAAGAGAAATCATTATATCAAAAAGGCACCTGCATTTATATGTTTATCTCAGCCCTATTCATAATAGCAAAGTCACGGAATTAACTAAGTGTCTATCAACAGATGATTGGATAAAGAAAATGTGGTATATATAGCATGGAATACCACTCAGGCGTTAAAAAAAGGTAACAACAACAGTAAAATAATGTCTTTTGCAATGGCATAGATGGAACTGGAGGTCATTACCTTAAGTGAAACAACTCAGAAAGTCAAATAGTACACGCTCTCACTTATAGGTAGATGGTAAACAATAAGTACACATGAACATACAGAGTGGAATAATAATCAATGGATTTTCCAAAAAGAGGGAGGGTGGGATGGGGGTAAAGTTTGAAAAATTATCTATTGGATATGATGTTCACTAATTGGGTGATGGGTACATTAAATGCCCAGACCTCACCACTGTGCCAAATATCCATTGGATTTTATTTTTAGAGATTTAGAAGGTACGGGGCCTGGCGCAGTGGCTCACACCTGCAATCCTAGCACTTTGGAAGGCCGAGGCAGGCGGATCACCTGAGGTCAGGAGTTCGAGACTAGCCCAGCCAACATGGCAAAACTTCGTCTCTACTAAAACTACAAAAAAATTAACTGGGCATGGTGACGTGTGTCTGTAATCCCAGCCACTCAGGAGTCTGAGGCAAGAGAATTGCTTGAACCCAGGAGGCGGGGGTTGCAGTGAGCCAAAATTGCGCCACTGCACTCCAGCCTGGGAAACAGAGCGGGACTTCATCTCAAAAAAACAAACAAAAAAAAAAAGAGAGAGAGAGAGATTTAGGGGGTACAAGTGCAGTTTTGTTACTTGTACTCCCTAAATCTCTAAAAATAAATAATAACAATAATGTAAAAAGAAGTGTCCTATCTCACGCTTCCTCAGTCTCATTTTTCTCATGTGTAAGAATGGAGATCATCATGTTTTATTTCAGGAGTTTGTGTGAGAAAAAATATTATAAGAAAAATGATGCTTCTTACAGTCTTCTGACCTCTGAATATTTTGAATTATTATCCCTGATGTGGTCTAAAAAATCCTCATGTCTTAAGTTCCAAATTTTGTTTTAATATATATGAGGTTTCAGTATCCCAGATTATTTTTAATAATAAATAAATAAATGTATGTTACTACAGTTTGATTCTTCTTTAAATTCACACCTAAATTATTATTTTTTCTTTGAAAACGTGATGGAACACTATTTCTCCTTGAAAATATGGTAAAAATATAACGGACCTTTACAATGCATGTGCCCGTGTTTGTCTTCTACTTCAAACAGCAAGTTGAATAAGAAAAACATGGTTTTTAACACTCTGTAGCAAATTTTACATTATGTTAAATGAGATATCTAATTATTGATATATTATGTAATAACACAATGTATTTGTTATAGACATTGCTTGAAACGTTAGATAAGTGGCCTATGCTTTTTTAAAATTCCAATAAATATAAGTCGATGCTCCCCTTAAGGGCATGTTGAGAGATTAGTTTATAATTATTTGTAAATTTGGGTTGATAAAACAAATAGGCACTTTATACAGGTATGATAATATGACAGAACACTGAAAGTCTGATTCCAATGTATTTTTGCTTCACAGGGAATGTATAATCACAAGTTGTATTCATATTCATTAACTAAGATGAGTTTGCAGACTTCACTAGTTCTAGTTGCGTGATTTTGCATGGCTAAGTAATATGTAACTAAAATAATACAATGTAAAAAACCCAAGTTGTGTTATGTGTGTGTTTATACACATAAACACATAGGCATAAATATATGAATTATTTTATAATTGCATGGGAATTCTGCTATATATATATACACATATACATACATATTTAATTTTATTATTTTAATATTCAGAAAACTGTAGGTTTGCCATTACATAATCTGCTGGTTATTACAGCTATTTTAGGTGAGTTCATCGTTTGATCTCCAATACATTTTTGATAAATGCCTGTGTACACAAGGAGTAATTGAATATAATCTGTGTTAAATTTTGATTATGAACTAGAATGTTTGAAATTCCTGGATATCATGACCTTGACAGGCTATGGTTGTTGTACTAAGCAAGTAAGCCCCAGGAGGTGTTCCAGTGACTCATTTGAATCTCAGACATACTTATCACTGCTCCATTGTGTAATAGCAATTCTGGCCCTTTATGATAACTAGGGATAATTACTTCTGCCATCATTGTAACTCCTTTATATTCCTGTTGAGTATAGCATGAGGAGCCAAAAATGATTAGTTATCAGTCCTGGATTTAGATCTAGGTTCTTTGAGACCCTGCTCTTGTCCCCTGGAGACGTGACCATTCTACTTGTAGTTACCTGGACTTTCAGAATTACATAGACTGCGTTTCAAAGAAAGCACATATTTCCAAGTCTGTAAGTAGGCTTTTGGTGAGAATGACCAATTCTGTTTTCACTGGTTCCTGATCCTAGTCACTCTTATCTCTCAGCATCAAATAAGATTATTAGTGTAACATAGGTACCACATTTTGAAAAACAGTGCTCTAATTTTCCTAGATATTGTTCCCAAATTAGAATTTTAAATGAAACTTTAAAAATCTATTCCAATGATTTATTATGATAGTATCTTCCGAATGATACATAATAGGACAAGTAGGTCCTTTGGTTCAGGATGCATTCTTGTACCTTATTTACCACAATGTTAGATTTTTCATCTGAGGTGATGTTTTGCAGGATTTAATTTTATTAATCCAGATATTCTGTGGTGATTCTATATGTGGTGTTCATAGAGAAAATGTTTTCCAGAAAAGGGAAATGCATACCTAGAACACATACTAATCTCATTCAGGACAAATGATTCAGATCTCAAGTTGAAAGTAGTCATATATAATTCTTTTCCACAAAGTGCCTGGTTGATCTATTCAAGGGATATGATATTGAAGGTTCAGCATTGGTCTCTGTTGCTAGTGTGTCATATACTGAGCATTAACTCAGCAGTAGTTAGGTTACCTTGGATAAGAGGGACCCAATGGGGTTGAGATAACACATAGATTACTTCTTAAATAGATCCACTGTGCAAACACTGAAGTGTTTGAAGACTGACTTTCCCTGGAAAAGTCATTTTGCACACCAGATGATTAAGCACCTCCTATGTGGAAAGTGTACTCCACAGGACATAGACATAAGACAAAATCTGAATACCATGTTCCTCATCCTAAAGTCCCCCTGCATGGCATTTCCTCTAGCCATCTTGTCTCTGACCGTCAATGTTCCCCATCCCAAGGCCTTGATGATGGAGTCACTAGCCAAAATTCTTATTTTGTCACTAGCCAAAAATTCTTATTTCCAACCATTTTTCTTTCCAATAAGTAGATAATCTTCAAGTATATGTCCACTAAAACATGTCTGCTCTCCTACTGTCTTTCGTTATCACCACTGATTGAAGCTATATACTTGTAGTGATTCTTTTCCTTTCCACACCAAAATACTGATATAACGCTTTGTGGATTTTCCCCTTCTCTCTCTGCTGACATGTAAAGAATAGCCAGTGAGGTCATAGATATATGCTGAAGGAAAAACATCAGTGAAACAAAGATAGGTAATTTTAGGCCTAGATGACATGCTAATCTAATGTACTATGCTTTCTGGACCTATTTAAGTCAAATCATTTTTTACCTCTTTATTCTTAATGCGTATATATACATAATATCTGTACATATTTATGGGGTATGTGTGATATTTTGATAAAAGTATACCATGTGTAATAATCAAAACTGAGTAAATGGGATATCCATCACCTCACACATTGATCTTTATTCTGTGTTGGAAACATGTCAAATCTACCCTTCTATCTATATGAAATATACAAGGTTATGATTAACTATAGTTGCCCTATTGTGCTACCAAGCACTAGATCTTATTCCTTCTATTAACTCTAGTTTTTTACCCATTAACCAATCTATCTTAATCTTCTCATACCTACTGTCTTTCCCAGCCTCTGATAACCACCATTCCATTCACTATCTCTCTGAGATCAATTTTTTTAGCTACCCAACATGAGTGAGGACATGTGATATTTATCTTTCAGTGCCTGGCTTATTTTACTTAAGATAATGTCTTCCAGTTCCACAGATGTTGTTGCAAATGACAGGATCCCATTTCTTTACATGGTAGAATAATATTCCATTGTGTGTGTGTGTGTGTGTGACATTAAAATATTATTTTATTGTGTATTATTCAATTTATACACATTAAAATGTGATATATATTTAATGTGTATATATACAATGTAATATTATTTATTAATTGACACTTAAATTGATTTATTATTGTATTTCCACCCTACCATGGATCATTGTTGTAACTCCCAGATTAGCTATCTAGTAATATTCACCTTTTGATGTACATTTCCAGTCAGTTATCACTTAATGTTCTATAGTGAGAGTCTCAGTTTTGACTAATAGCATATTAAATCTGTTTGTGAAAAACAAATAATGCTCTGTTTTAGGAATCATGATGTCTGTGCCATAATTTTCCCATTTGGGGCTTTCCAGAGACTCTCTTCAGAGTCCTTATCTACTACAAATACCATAAGAGCCACAAAGTGTGCCAGACCAAGTGGCCTGAGCAGCAGGAAAGGGGGCACTGCAGCCTGAACCATCTGTAGTCCCCTTTTGCATCCAGGTTCCACTTAAAGCTGACAGTTTTCTAATTTATCGGATAAGTTAAGTAATGCAGTATTCCCAAGGTTGCTACATGCGTTCTCCAACATACATAGGGTCCTATTGAAGGTATGGCTACATTCTTGGTACCAGATTGTTTGTTATCTTGGAGAATATGTTTTCAAATGTTCCAAACTATTGAAACCTTGACAGAACCATGAACAGGGCTTGGGAGCAAGGAAGTAAATCTTTACTGCTGAAAATCTCAGTTAAATGCTAAAAGCTTTTACTTTTATTAATGATGAGGAAAATGAAAGATTCCATTCCCCCCATTAGCAAATATGGCAAGTTCCAGACGCTGTGCTAATATCTTGTAATAAAGATAACACAGGTAAAGTAGAGGCTGCAATTGCAGCTAATATTTGATTAACTTTTTATTAGTTTACAATCTTCCTCCATGGTCTTTATGGCTTGTGGAAAGTCCATGTCCGTGAATAAAATAGGATGGTGACAGGGAACTTCTTTATGCATCTTTTTAATTTTTGAGATTAGTATATGACATTGTCTCTGATCCCATAGTAAAGGGTAATGAAAGAGGACCAATGTTAGGAGAGTGCACATGTGTGTTTAAGCATTATGGCTTTCACTCCACAGACCAGTGAAGAATGGTGAGGATTTTTTTATTGCTCACATGAGCATTCTTTTCACCAGGCCTTGAGGTATTTATTAGATGGTATATATTAAATTTTATATATATATATATAGATATATATATAGATATATAGATATACATTTGGTTTTCACTATATAAACCATGAAATTTTCCTATTGGAAGACAATTTATTTTGATTTGTTTGAGATTAATTCACACAAATAAGGTTTATTTCATTGCTGTATAATATTATAATAATACAGTACAAATCACTTACATTTTCCATAGGCTTTCTGTTTTGTCCCATGTTTCTATTTTCATTAACTAGATTTTAAAATAAATTTTGTCTCATATTTGATAGAAAATGTCCCTTTTCTTCTTTTGCAGTTTTGTATTGTTTCATCTTGGCTATGTACTATTCTGTATTCATTTTACAATTATCATTTCAAGTTCCAACAATAATTATTGCAATATTAATTAGCATATTATGAAATCTATAAAAAATTTATGGGAAATTATATAACAATATGTGACTACATCTGTAGTGTGTATATATATTTATACATAGCCATTTCAAAATAGTATTTAATGTATAAATATATTAGCTAATATAAAATTATTTCATACTTTATAATGTTTTATAAGTATACAATTTTATAATATAACTTACTTTGCAAAACATACTATCATATCAAATAATTAATAAACTATTCTGATGGTTAATACTGAGTGTCAACTTGATTGGCTGAAGGATGCAAAGTATTGTTTTTGGGTGTGTCTGTGAGGGTGTTGCCAAAGGAGATTAACATTTGAGTCAGTGAGCTGGGAAAGGTAGACCCACCTATAATCTAGGTGGATACCAGCTAATAGGCTACCAGTGTGGCCAGAATATAAAACGGGCAGAAAAATGTGAAAAGGTTAGACTGGCTTAGCCTGCCAGCCTACATCTTGCTCCTGTCATGGATGCTTCCTGCCCTTGGACATCAGACTCCAATTTCTTAAGCTTTGGGACTCGGACTAGCCTCCTTACTCCTCAGCTTGCAGATGGCCTATTGTGGTACCTTGTGATCACCTGAGGTAATACTTCTTAATAAACTCCACATATATATATTTTTATATATACATTATATATATATTTATATATATATTATATATATTTATATATATATTATATATATTTATATATATATTATATATATTTATATATATATTTTATATATATATTTATATATATATTAGTTCCATCTCTCTAGAGAACCCTATATATATTGTTCTCTCTATATATTTATATATTAAATATATATAGCATTCTCTCTATATAGTTATATATTATATATATAAATATATATAGTATAATATATATATTTATTAGTTCCATCTCTCTAGAGAACCCTGACCAATAAAACTATTATCTCATTAATACAATGTTTAGAAATATTTCTATAATTTATTTGAAATTGTTGATGCTGGATTTATTCATCAGTTGTTCCTTTTTGCAGTACAAATGCTGTTTTAAAAGTTATATTGTATTCTTTTTGCTGGTAAGAAAATAGACTTTATATAACATTTTGTATCTCTCAAAATTCTTAAATTTCTTTCAATCTAATAATTTATCAGTGGCTTTTCTGGGCATTCCTTAACATGTAATTATGTAATTTATACTTAATAACACTTTTTAACTTCTTTATTTATTTATTTATTTATTTTACTTCTTATTTTATTATTATTATACTTTAAGTTTTAGGGTACATGTGCACAATGTGCAGGTTAGTTACATATGTATACATGTGCCATGCTGCTGCGCTGCACCCACTAACTCGTCATCTAGCATTAGGTATCTCTCCTAATGCTATCCCTCCCCCCTCCCCCCACCCCACAACTGTCCCCAGAGTATGATGTTACCCTTCCTGTGTCCATGTATTCTCATTGTTCAATTCCCACCTGTGAGTGAGAACACGCGGTGTTTGTTTTTTTGTCCTTGCGATAGTTAACTGACAATAATGATTTCCAATTTCATCCATGTCCCTACAAAGGACATGAACTCATCATTTTTTATGGCTGCATAGTATTCCATGGTGTATATGTGCCACATTTTCTTAATCCAGTCTATCCTTGTTGGACATTTGGCTTGGTTCCAAGTCTTTGCTATTGTGAATAGTGCCGCAATAAACATATGTGTGCATGTGTCTTTATAGCAGCATAATTTATAGTCCTTTGGATATATACCCAGTAATGGGATGGCTGAGTCAAATGGTATTTCTAGATCCCTGAGGAATCGCCACATTGTCTTCCACAATGGTTGAACTAGTTTACAGTCCCACCAACAGTGTAAAAGTGTTCCTATTTCTCCACATCCTCTCCAGCACCTGTTGTTTCCTGAAATAAAATACTTTACAGACAAGCAAATGCTGAGAGATTTTGTCACCACCAGGCCTGCCCTAAAAGAGCTCCCGAAGGAAGCACTAAACATGGAAAGGAACAACCGGTACCAGCTGCTGCAAAATCATGCCAAAATGTAAAGACCATCGAGACTAGGAAGAAACTGCATCAACTAATGAGCAAAATAACCAGCTAACATCATAATGACAGGATCAAATTCACACATAACAATATTAACTTTAAATGTAAATGGACTAAATGCTCCAGTTAAAAGACACAGACTGGCAAATTAGATAAAGAGTCAAGACCCATCAGTGTGCTGTATTCAGTAAACCCATCTCACGTGCAGAGACACACATAGGCTCAAAATAAAAGGATGGCGGAAGATCTACCAAGCAAATGGAAAACAAAAAAAGGGAGGGGTTGCAATCCTAGTCTCTGATAAAACAGACTTTAAACCAACAAAGATCAAAAGAGACAAAGAACGCCATTACATAATGGTAAAGGGATCAATTCAACAAGAAGAGCTAACTATCCTAAATATATATGCACCCAATACAGGAGCACCCAGATTCATAAAGCAAGTCCTAAGTGACCTACAAAGAGACTTAGACTCCCACACATTAATAATGGGAGACTTTAACACCCCACTGTCAACATTAGACAGATCAATGAGACAGAAAGTTAACAAGGATACCCAGGAATTGAACTCAGCTCTGCACCAAGCAGACCTAATAGACATCTACAGAACTCTCCACCCCAAATCAACAGAATATACATTTTTTTTCAGCACCACACCTATTCCAAAATTGACCACATAGTTGGAAGTAAAGCTCTCCTCAGCAAATGTAAAAGAACAGAAATTATAACAAACTATCTCTCAGACCACAGTGCAATCAAACTAGAACTCAGGATTAAGAGTCTCACTCAAAACTGCTCAGCTACGTGGAAACTGAACAACCTGCTCCTGAATGAATACTGGGTACATAACGAAATGAAGGCAGAAATAAAGATGTTCTTTGAAACCAACAAGAACAAAGACACAACATACGAGAATCTCCGGGACACATTCAAAGCAGTGTGTAGATGGAAATTTATAGCACTAAATGCCCACAAGAGAAAGCAGGAAAGATCCAAAATTGACACCCTAACACCACAATTAAAAGAACTAGAAAAGCAAGAGCAAACTCATTCAAAAGCTAGCAGAAGGCAAGAAATAACTAAAATCAGAGCAGAACTGAAGGAAATAGAGACACAAAAAACCCTTCAAAAAATTAATGAATCCAGGAGTGGTTTTTTTGAAAGGATTAGCTTCTTATTAAACTAACTGTTTTATTTATTTTCTGTCATTAGGGCACTGATTTTTTTCACATGACCAAAAAAAGGTATATTAATTACCCTGGGCTTATTCCAGATATTAAAAAAAAAGCTTTCAAACTTTGACAACTTTTTCTTATATTTGCCCCAAAGTCTTTTTTGTGTCTGTTTGTAACGTGTTTTATCAAATTAAGTAAATTAATAATATGTTTATCTCCTTTAATTTACTAATGTGTTATGTAAATTAATTTTCTTATACTAATCCAACTTGGCATTCCTGAGTAAACTCAGTCATTAATTGAAAATCTACTATCTTAAATTGATTTTTTTCACCAATGTATTTGTGAACATAAAATTTTGTTGTATGAGGAAAATTTTCTGAAAATTCTTAATAGTATAATTCCTGGCATCAACAATATTTAATTTATGGTTCTACGTTATTTTTTCTAATAACTAAAAAATTTTGGGTTAAATGTAGAGAGATTATTTTTCCTTTTGTAGCTTCTTCTAGTGGTTATCCTTTCATGTAATCTCTCTACATTTCATTTTCACTACTAATTAAAGAAAATTCACTAGGGTAATAAGAGTAGGTGAGATAGAATGTGAAACTTTTAAATTTGGCTAATAATGTTCAGTTTTTGTTTTTCTTGGAAGTAAAAAATATTGTTCTTAGTGTGTTTCTGCTACCTTAAAGTAACTTAGTTCTTGTTTTATAATTTACATATTTGTTTGAATGTTCTTATTGAATAAATTGCATCAATTTCTTTAAAAATAATACTCATTAAGATTTATAATACTATAAAAGGATACATAATAATTAATGTCCATCTGCCATTCTATCAATATATATCTAGATATTTGTCTATTTACAAATCTACCTATGTATAGACATTAATTATTAACATTATTAATGTTTAGACCCTGCCAAAATAAATGCATTTTTTCTTTACATAAGTATGTATTTATATCAAAGCTTATTATATTCACATCTGTAGTTTGCATAATCAAGCATATGCATGAATGCACATACATCACTTTAAAAATATGTTCTCCTATTAACAGAAAAGAATAATCATCACACTATCAATTAGGTGTCGCAATCTCTTCCAAATTTGAGGTTAATTATTTGTGGCAAGACATGATGCTCAATAAATCTTTACAGAATGAAGAAATTAATATTCTACTTCATTGAAATTTTTTGCACCAATTGAGAAACTATAATTGTTACAAAAGAATTTAAACTGTAAATACAGCACCATTATAAAATCAGATATATCTTAGTTATATTAAGATATATTATTTATTTAACTTATTTAAAAACTTATTTATGTTTTGTCTGTTGTTAAATATGTTTTCATGATAATGGTACTTTATTAAGATTTTTTATATGATAAAATAAAAACTATAATTTTACTATTTTTGACAAAGATACTTTTGCATTGTAAATGAAATTTTAAACATTTAGTGCATAGATAAGTAGACTGCTTATGTAAAAAAAATCAGTGGAATCTACAAAAATACTAGAATTAATAAGGAATTTAGAAAATAACAGCAAACTAAGTGAATAAACAAAATTCAACTGTATTTCTATATAATAGCTATGAAAAACTGGAAAATCAAATTGCAAAAGCAATTATATTCAAAATAGCATAAGAGTAGAGCCAAGATATCTGTCTAGATGCAGCCAGGAATAGCTCCTCCCACTGAGAGACCAGACTATCAAGAAGACGGGTACACTTGTAGCAGATCTTCAGAAGGAAGACATTTAGAGTGTACAGAGAGAGGATGCCGAATCTGGGCTGAGTGGGGTGGATCGTAAGAAGCCTGCACCTTGTTGCTGAGGACGAGGATTTGTTTCTTGTCCTAAGTGGCTCCTGGAGAAGGAATGAGTTAAATAGGCATGGAATGGCCCACTCTCACCATGGATCTCCAGAATCCTAGCAGCAGGAGTCCCCACAACCCCAATGGACATTTGAGCAGGCAGAGAAAACTGCTTGGAATGTTGGCAGAGAAAGGACTCCAGGCTGTGCAGATCCCAGAGGGTTAGGTACCAGAACAGCTGCAATAAAGAATGGCCAAGGAAACCCATCTCCCAAGGCTTGCCACACTCCTCTAGATGGCTTTAGCCTTTGTTGGCTGTTGTATCTGAACAGTACAAGGGTATCTTGCCTGTGGGATGGGGCCAGGCTGATCTGAGTACCCCCATCATTTTCTGGCCTCTCTTAGGATTCCTGTCTGGCTGCATCCAATTTTAGTACAGCCTCAGATGCCCAACTGCGGCACTTCCCAGCAGCTACCAACATAGCTTTTACACCGGTTACCGGTTTTACCCTACAAAACCATCAGACTGCTTTTGCAGACAGGCCTGTACTGGCATGTACATGTCCACAGCTTTGCCCCATCACTTTGCTGACATGTAATCAACTGAAGCCTGCCCCCACTCCTTTCCTGGCACACATGAATGCATGAATCTCACTGCCCTTCTACCACTGGTATTTGTACATATAAGCAGACCTCACTGCTGCAACCTCTCCATCATATGCACATGTGGACTCCACCATGGCTGGCACTCATATGGACCCTGACATGCCACTGCTACTGGCACACATATATGTGTACAGATTCCAGAACACTGCCAACCTGCTGCTTCCTGCCAGTGAAGACCCTGCTGCCACTGCCTCAGTAGAGCACTATTGCCAGCATCATCCCCCCAGGTCACCCAATTTGAGTGTTATCACCAGTGAACCAGGAACACCTCGGGCTTCACTGTGTAGCAGGTGTTTAAGCACAAGGAGCAATAAAACAAAGCCATGGACCTAATCACAGCACCCTAAGTTAGGGTACACATCCCAGGAGTGCTGAGCTAAGCCTATGACAGTAAAATTATCCAGAAATGAAGCTGCATTAGTCCGTTTTCATGCTGCTGATAAAGATATACATGAGACTGGGCAATTTACCAAAGAAAGAGGTGTACTGATCTTATAGTTCCACATGGCCGGGGAGGCCTCACAATCATGGTGGAAGACAGGAGAAGCAAGCCACATCTTACATGGATGACAGCAGGCAAAGAGATTGTACAGGGAAGCTCCCATTTTTAAAACCATCAGATCTCATGAGACTCATTTACTATCAAGAGAACAGTGCAGGAAAGGCCCATCCCTATAATTCAATCACCTCCAACTAGGTTCCTCCCATGACATGTGGGAATTATGGGAGTCACAATTCAAGATGAGATTGAGGTGGCAACACAGCAAAACCATATCAAAAGCCATTCAACCAACCCAACTTATATCTTTTATATTCTTTGCTGCCCTCAAGGTTTTGACTTATATCAGTCAAATCCTCGACGGCAGCAAAGAATATAAAATAACAAACTCCATCCAAAGGACAGCAACTTCAAACATTAAAGGAACATCAACCCACACAGATGAGAAAGGACCAGCACAAGAACTGTGACAACTCAGAAAGCCAGAGTTTCTTCTTACTTCCAAACGACCACATTAGCTTCCCAGGAATAGTTCTTAACCAGACTGAAATAGCTAAAATGACAGACATAGAACTCAGACTTTTTACGGCAATGAAGACCATTAAGATTCAGGAGAAAGTGCAAACCTATCCCAAGGAATCTAAGGAATACAGTAAAATGATTCAAGAGCTGAAAGATGAAATATACATTAAAAACACCTGATTTTTTAGAGCGAAAAATTCATTTTAAGAGTTGTATAGTGCCACCAGAAGTATTAACAGCAGAATAAATTAAGCTAAAGACAGAATCTCACAGCTCAAAGGCTGGTTCTTCAAATCAATTCAGTCATACAAAAATAAAGCAAAAAGAATAAAAATGAATGACTAAAGTCTCTGAGAAATTTGGGATTACGTAAGGAGATCAAGATTAGTGAGTCATTGGCATGTCTGAAAGAGAGGCAGATAGAGTAAGGAACTTGGAAAACATGTTTGCAAATATTGTCCATGAAGATTTTCCCAACATTGCTAGAGAGGGCTAGATTGAAATTCAAGAAATTTAGAGAAGCCCTGCAAAAAATAGTACAAGAGGACCATCCGTATGACACATACACATCAGATTCTCCAAGGTCAACGCAAAAGAAAAAAATATTAGAAATAGCTAGAGATAAGGGGCAGGTCACCTTACAAAGGGAACCCCACCAGGCTAACAGTGGAATTTTCAGAAGAAATTCTAGAAGCCAGAAGGGATTAGGGGCAGTTATTCAGTATTCTTAAAGAAAATGAATTCCAACCAAGAATTTCATAATCTGACAAACTAAGCTTCATAAGTGTAAAAGAAATAAAATTCTTTTAGACAAGCAAATACTAAGGGAAGTTTGTACCACCAGACCCATACAATAGGTCATTAAGGGAGTGCCAAACTTGGAAATGAAATAATATTATGAACTACCACATAAAGAGTTAAGTACATAGACCATGGGTACTATACAGTAAGTACACAGTCAACTCTACATAATAACCAGCTAATACAATTACAGGATCAAATTCACAATTTATCAATATGAATCTTAAATGTGAATGGGATAAACACTCCATTTAAAAGCCACAGAGTGACACATTAGTTTTAGAAGCAAGACCCAACTTTGTCCTGTCTTCAAGAGACCCATCTCACATGCAAGGTCACTCACAGACTTAAAGTAAAAGCATAGAGCAAAATCTATCAAACAAACAAAAAATAACGAAAAGCAGGGGTTGCTATTCTAATTTTAGCCAAAACATATTAAACCAACAATGATTAAAAAGGACAAAGAAGGACATTACCTGATAAAGTGTTCAATTCAACAAGAAAATTTAAGTTTCTTAAATGTATATGCATACAACAATGGAGCAACCAGATCCATAAATCAAGTTCTTACAGACCTATAAAGAGATTTAGATAACCACATGATAATAGTGGGAGGCTTCAACACCTCACTGATAGTATTCAAGAGATTGTTGATGCAGAAAAGTAACAAAGACATTTGGGACCTAAATTTAACACAACAAATGTACTAACAGATAGCTGCAGGACACTCCACCCAAAAACAACAGCATATGTGCTATTCTCATCAACACATGGCATATACTCTGTTAATCATAAAGCATAAAGTAATTTTCAATAAATTTAAAATGACTGAAATAATATCAACTACAATCTCAATCTTAGAGCACAGCAGAAAATAAAGATGGAAATCAATTCCAGAAATATCTTTCAAAACCATACAGTTACATGGAAATTAAACAACCCAATCTTGATTGATTTTGGGGTAAACATTAAGATTAAGGCAGCAATCAAGAAATTCTTTGAAACTATGAAAACAAAGATACAACCTACCAGAATCTTTGAGACACAACTAAAGCACTGATAAGATGTAAGTTTTTAGCACTAAATATCTGCATTAACATTAAAAAAAAGTTAGAAAGATCACAAATTAACAACCTAACATCACATCTAGAGGAAATAGAAAAGCAAAAAACAACCTCAAAGCTAGAAGAAGAAAAGAAATAGCCCAAGCCAGGGCTGAATTGAACAAAATTGAGATGTAAAAAAAGACACAAAAGATTAAAGAAACTAAAAGTTGGCTTTTGGAAAAATAAATAAAACAGACAGACTCCTAGCTAGACTAACAATGGCAAAAAAGAGAGAAGATCCAAATAAACATAATCAGAAATGATAAAGGGGGCATTAACACTGAAGGCATAGAAATACAGAAAACCCTCAGAGGCTATGACCATCTCTGTGCACACAAACTAGAAAACCTAGAAGAAATGGATGAGTACCTGGAAACATACATCCTCCAAAGACTGAACCAGGAAGTTGAAATATTAGACCAATAACAAGTTCAGATTTTGAAACAATGAGAAAAAATCTTACCAAACAGAAAAAGCCCCGGACCACATGTATTCACAGCCAAATTCTACCAGATGTATAAAGAAGAGCTGGTATCAGTCTTACTGAAAATATTTCAAAAGATTCAGATGGAGGGATTCCTCCCTCATTCATTGTATGAACCTGGCCTCATTTTGATACCAAAACCTGGTAAAGACACAATGAAAAAGGAAAACTTCCATCCAAAATCCCTGATGAACACAGAGGCAAAAATCCTCAACAAAATGCTAGCAAACCAAATCCAGCAAGCAGCACAACAATAAGTCAATCAACAACAATCAAGTAGGCTTTGTTCTTGAGATGCAAGGTTGGTTCAACATAGGTGAATCAATAGATTTCTTTGACTACTTAAGCTAAAGTAAAAACAAAAACACATGATCATCTCAATAGATGCAGAAGATGCTTCCAATAAAATCAACACCCCTTCATATTAAAAACCCTCAACAAACTAGGAATCAATGGAACATACATCAAAACAATAAGAACCATCTATGTCAAACCCACAGCCAACATCATACTATATGGGCAAAAGCTGGCAGCATTTCTCTAGAGAACTGGGACAAGACAAAGAGGCCCACTCTCAGTCTCACAACTCCTATTCAATACAGTTCTGAAAGTCCTAGCCAGAACAATCAGGTGAGAGAATGAAATAAACCACATTCAAATAGAAAGAGAGTAAGTCAAATTATCTCTTCACAGAATATGTGATTCTATTCCCAGAAATATAAATTTCAGAAGAATTTATTCTATTTCCGTGAAAAATATCATTGGTAGTTTGGTAAGAATAGTGTTGAATCTGCAAATTGCTCTGGGGAGTACGGCCATTTAAAAAGTTTAAGTGCAAAATCCTTTATGTTTAGCAGAACATGTGAGTGTTCACTGTATTGATAGGTAGTGATTAGTCATGATGACCTACAGAGGGTTTTCGGAAACAAAGTGGAATCAGAAAGCGTCCACAGGGAGAAAAAGTTATAGTCCATTGTGAAATATTAAAGCCTGATTAATAATGTATGGAGAATTTCCCCTATAAGGAGAGATGGAGCTCAGGTAGGATGAGAAGGGTGTCCCTGTGAGGTAGTTGAAGGTATAGAATAGAATAAATTGAAGAGAAATAAGGCCACAGGTATAAAGTCAATTGCTTTTCAGTCAGAATACAAATTTAACTCAATAGAAGAACTCTTTTTAACAAATTGTGATGAAATTTATGTGTACCCAATGCCAAAATGTACCATTTAACCCCTATATCAAATGAAACAAAAAACATTGAAGTAAATAATAGATCTAAATTTAAAACAGTACATTACAAGATTTCTAAAGATAGTATAAATGCCTGCGTAATTTTGAGGTGGGCAGTGTCTGTAGATGCAACACCAAATCAATGATAATAAAGAATACAAAATTACAAGTTGGATTTTATCAAAGTTAAATATTTTTTCTCTATATAGATAATAAATAAGGAAGCCCCAGATTATAGATAATATAGTCTTATTATAAATATCTAATAAATCTATATAGAACTTATTATTCAAGAATTAAAATGCCAGAAAAAAATGGGCAACAGAGTTAAACAGATATTTCACAACAACATGAAGAAGAATGGCCAACACACACAAAAAATGTAATCTACATAATTAGCCTTAAGGAAAATGCAAGTTAAAACCATATTTCACAACCACTACAATGGCTAAAATAAAAAATAAATAAATAAGACAGACAACATCAAGTTTAGGAAGCATGAAAACGCTCAAATATTTCTGATGGAAGTATAAAATAGAAAAATCACTTTGGCAAACTGTTGAACAGATTTTTGTATAGTTCAAGATGCATCTACTCTGTAACTCAGTAATTATTATTCTAGGTGTTTATCCAAGAAGAAGGAAAACTAGTGTTCATAGATAAAAATTCTTGCTCAATAGTATTTATAGTAGTCTTATTTATAATAACCTAAAAATGAAAATGACCCAAATATCCACAAACAAGAATGAATTAACAAATGGTGGTATATTCATACAATGGAATGCTAATCAGTGATAAAAATTAAGGAACTACTATTACACAGAATAATATATGGATTAATTATGAGAACACATTGAGAGAAAAAAGCCAAATACAAAAGAATGCATACTGTATAGTATTATTTATAAGAAATTCAACAACATAAAACACTATCTTTGGTACAAATAAATGAGAATGGTGGTTAGCCTTTTGGTCTTTATATAAGAGAGAGCATTATGAGTGAAATATCATGAGTGATGAAGATGTTCTTCATATTCTAGATGCTAGTTTTATGCACATATTTTTAAATTAATGGTGTTGCATGCTATCTAAAAATATCTTAGCCTTCCTCAAAGCTGCAGTTTCTTTCTCTTTCTCTTTTGTCCTAAAAGCATCATGTTTTAGCTTTCGTGGAAAAAAATATTTTTGACTGTGCCATGAAATAGTTAATATTTATGTTTTTTCTGATAATATTCAGTTACTCCACCCCAATTTTGTGAGAATATCTTACTTTGTCCACTGAACTGAATTAGTGCCTTGCTTGAAAATCAAATGCCCATGTATTTGTGAATCTGTTTCTATACACTGTTTTAGGCTAACACTACTATTCCAGTAGTTCTATCTCAATTATTGTAATTCTATAGTAAGTCTTAGAGTCTACCAGTATAAATTTTCTGCTTTTCAAGATTTTCTTGGTTACTTTAGACTATTTGTATTTTCATATACATTGTAGGATTACTTTGTCAATTAATATAAATAACATTTGAAATTGTTATTAGGACTATATTAAATATATATTAATTTGGTAAGAATTTAAGTCTTAAAATATTGCCTTTACCAATTCTGTCCCATGGTTTCTCCTATGTGATCCCCGGTCCCTCACTTCTTCTATAGCTTCATAGAATTGATTTAGCTCCTTTTTTTTTTTTTCGCTTTTTTACATTTGTGAAGTACATTAGTTTCCTATTGCTGCCATAGCAAACCACAATTCTAGTGGCTTAAAACAGCACAAATATATTATCTCTCAGTTTTGAAAGTCAAAAATCTCAAAATGGTTTCTGTCTCTTCCCTTTACCTTTGTTTCTGTCATCATTATATGCCCTTCTCCAACTCTGAATTTTCTGCATCCATCTTATAAGGATCTTTGCAATTATATTGACTATAGCCAGATAATTCAGGTTAATCTCCCCGCCTCAGGGTCCTTAATTTAATAACACCTAGGAAGTCCATTTTTCCATCTGAAGTAACAGACACACAGGTTTGGGGAATCAGAATGTGAACATTTCTGCAGGAGTGAAGAGACATTGTTTTGCCTACCACACTGTTTTAGCAGAAAATGTGTGACTGAAATGATTTAAAAAATGATCCACATAATACAGGAGTCACAAGTTGTCTTAGGGAGTTTCAACTATCCTAAAAAATAATGAGTCACAATTCAAAAGTTTTAATAAAGAGAATGTCATAATTGTACATGCATTTCAGAGAGATCACTTCATTCCAGTGTGACAAATAAACTGGACAGAGAAAGATTATAGGAAAAGGAGCAATTATAGAAGACTATTTTAGTGATTTAGTTAAAGATATTCTTTTGTTTTTACATTAGTGGCAATGCTGATAAAGAAAATGGACAGAATAAAGACATTGAAGAGGCTGAATGAAAGGTCTTGGTATGTCTTAGCTTGTGGGTGTTTAATTTAAATTCTGCTCACATTTTTTGTATAAGCTGAGTGATTTCGCTTTCAGATGCACAGCTTGAGAACAGCCTACTTCCCTGGTACACAAAACATTCATTTAATTTGAGAAAAATCTTTATTCTTATTGTTTGATTATTTGATATTATGAATCAGAAGAGTAAAAATGTTTAAAAATAAGCTACAATTATCTATATATGAATTTTGGGGTGTCACTTCTATCTTCTCACTCAATTTTAAAAACAGCATCGAATCAACAATTCCTAAATCCTGACACATACGTCTCACTCATTATTTTATGAGTGGCAAACTTTATATAGAAGAATAGACAATGAGATTATGACTCAGTATGTGGACATTAAAGAAGAACCTGAGGGTTTCTATTTTTTTCTTCTTTAGAATGGTAGCTTTAACTGTTTTTTAGAAACTGAACATTTTTAATTTCTTTCTCTTATTTGGGTAGTTACTGGAAACCCAAGAATTGATTTTAGCAGTAAGTTCACTTTTAGTGCTCGTTTTGTTTTTAAGATTCTTTCATTATTATTATTATTATTGTGTGTGTGTTTTCCCATAGATATTTTAGTGTAAATTTAAGAAAAGTGGCAATAGGGGCTGTGGCTAGGTGTTATCTTAAAGGAGAAATGTCTAGTCTGTTTTTGTGTCAGGTAGAACATTATATAACCTTTAGAAGGTATGTGTTCATTTGCATCAGAAACTCCTTGTAGAAGCAATTCTTTATAACATGTCACCATGTGATAGTTCTTATGGGAAGGCCACAGTTTTTGTCCCCAGGGCTCTCAGAAATGAAATCTGTCAATTTTTCTCTTGACTGACATTAAATTTCCATGTTCCTCAGTCTTAAAATTAAGGTTTAATAACTCCCTCTTGGCAGCAGCTAAACTAGGGATTCCAAGGTACTTAGAGAAATCTCAAATTGTTCACTATGTATCCAATCTTCAATAAGGCAAAATGCCACCTTTTTTAAATTAAGGCCTTGCAATCTCCCTGAGTAGCATGGGAATCATCTAGCTATGCAAATTGTAGTCTACTCATGTCTATATAAGAGTTGCCTAGAGGAGAGATGAGGCATGATATGGGCACAAATATCATGCTAAGAAAGGTAAGAAAAGAAGGCAACACTGAGAATTTTGCTTTAATACTATTTTTATACTTATCAATTTTGTCCCCACATATTTCCTTTGTTGTAATTTGTTTAGTAAAAATATGAAAAAGAAGACTGTTTGTATAAAATGATTTCAAAGTACAAACAACATTTAAGTGCCTATATCATTTAGAGGTCCATGCATAAGTTATAGAAACATTCTGCTTTCACTTTCTTTTAGAATAAACTGTCATTTTTATTTCGTTAAAAGTTAAGAAAACATATTGTTGCACAACAGTGATGAATAAATGCCAAAACTCGTTTATTTTCTCATAGAGCATAATGTAATTTGATTTTTGGAAATTTTTAGCAAATTTATGCACTTGGTCCTGCAAGTGTTGCATTGCTCCAATTGATGGTGTGTTAATGCCATAATCACCACAATTGATAAACTTGATATCAATTGTAATGACTGCATTTTTTGTTTGTGATTTTATTTAGATGTTTTCTCTTTTTCATTTTTTTTTTTTTGACAGAGTCTCACTCTATGGCCCAGACTTGAGTGCAAGTGGCATGATGTAGGCTCTCTGCAATATCCACCTCCCAGGTTCAAGCGATTCTCGTGCCTCAGCCTCCCAAGAATCCGGGATTGCAGGCATGAGCCACCACACTCTCTTTTGCTCTTTAGCTAAAAGTTTGTTGATTTTGTTTATCTTTTCAAAACACAACTTTTTGTTATGTTCATTGTTTGTATTTTTTAGTCTAGATTTCATTTATTTTTGTTCTGATATTTAATTTTTTTTCCTTTTACTAATTTTGAGTTTGTTTTGTTCTTGCTTTTCTACTTCTTTGAAGTATATAATTAGGTTATTTGAAGTAGTTCTTTTTATGTCAGTGCTTATTGCTATAAACATCTCTCTTAGTATTGCTTTTGTTGTATACCATAGATATTTGTATGTTGTGTTTCCATTTTTATTTGTTTCAAGAATTTGTTTAAAATTCCATCTCAATTTCTTCTTTGCCCCACCAACTTTTTGAGCACATAGTATTTAATTTCTATTACCTGACTTCAAAATATACTACAAAGCTATAGTAACCAAGATAGCATGGTACTGGCAAAAGAACAGACATATGCAACAATAGAAAATACAGAAATAAATCCGAACTCATTTTTGACAAAGGTACCAAGAACATACATTGAGGAAAGGACTGCCTCATCAGTAAATGGTGCTGGAAAAACTAGATATTAATATGCAGAAGAAGAAAACTAGGCCCCCATCTTTCACCATATACAAAAATTAAAACAACATTAATTAAAGACTTAAACATAAAAAATCTGAAACTGTGAAACTACTAGAATAAAATATTGGGGAATCATTTTAGGACATTGGTCTAGGCAAAGATTTCTTGAGTAAGACCTCAAAAGCACAGGCAACAAAAGAAAAATATGACAAATGAGATTATATTAAGCCAAAAAGCTTCACAGCAAAGGAAACAATCAACAAAGTGAAGAGTCAGCCTAAAGAAAGGGAGATAATATTTGCAGACAATCCATCCAACACTGGATTAATAACCAGAATGTATAAGGAGCTCAAATAACTCAATAGCAAAAAAGCAAATAATCCAATTAAAAATAGGCAAATAGTCTGAATAGATATTCTCAAAACAAGATATCCAATGGCCAACAGGTATATGCAAAAATGTTCAACACTTACTAATAAACAGGGAAATGCAAATTAAAACCTCAGTGAGATATTATCTCACCCCAGTTAAATCGATTATTATCAGAAAGACAGAAAATAACAGATGCTAGTGAAGATTCAGAAAAAGGGAAATGTTCGTACACTGTTTTGGGGAATGCAAATTAATACAGCCACTATGGAAAACAGTATGGAGGAACCTCAAAAAAGTAAAGATAGAACTGTCATATGATACAGCAATCCCACTGCTATTTATATACCCAGAAGAAAGAAAATCAGATATCAAAGTGCTCTCTGTATTCACATGTCTATTGTAGCAATATTCACAATAGCCAAATTGTGGAATCCATCTCAGTGTCTATCAACAAAAGAATGGATGGAGAAATTTGGTATGTACACATCATGGAATAATATTCGGCCATAAGAATGTATGAAATCCTGTCATTTGTAGCATCATGGATGGAACTGGAAGACGTGATGTTAAGTGAAATAAACCAGGAACAGAAAGACAGTATTGCATTATCTTACTCATAGGTGAGAGCTACAAAAATTGATCTAATGTAAATAGAATAGTGGTTACCAGAAAGCAGAAAATGTATTGGAAAAGAAGGGGAGAATAAAAAGAGGGTTAAAAAATACAGTTAGATAAAAAAAAAATAAGTTCTAGTGTTCAATTGCACAACAGGGCAACTATAGTGAACAATAATTTATTGTATATTTCAAAACAGCTAAAATATAATATTTGGAATATTCCTAAAACCAATGTTTGAGGTGATGGGTATCCCAACTACGCTGATTTGTTAATTACACATTGTATGCTTGTATAAAAGTATCACATGTACCCCATAAATATGTACAGGTGTTACGTTTCTATTTCAAAAATAAACTTGATGAAAGGGAATAATATTAGCAAATAAAAGATTATTTTGCTAACATAAAACTAATCTAATAGGTTCTGATAAAGATAAGTTTACCAGCACTTTCAGGTTTTTCATATGAGCCTTGAGGTTATTTCCGTTATTTTTCATACTTACTCGTTGAATGAAGGTTCTGTCTCTCAAAATATGACTTTAAGGTAGACTAATAATACTAATTATATCACACATAGCTAAACTATAACTTCAAAATACTCATTGTTATTGTTTTAACCTATGGCTAATAATTGAAATTGTCTATATAAGATATTTGATATGGTTTGGCTCTGTGTCCCACCCAAATATCATCTTGAATTGTAATCCCCATAATCCCCACCTGTTGAGAGAGAGACCAGGTGGGAGGTGATTGGATTGTGGAGGCAGTTGTCCCCATGCTGTTCTCATGAAAGTGAGTGACTTCTCAGGAGATCTGATGGTTTGATAAGTGTTTGACAGTTCCTCTTTTAGACACTTTCTCTTTCCTACTCTTGTGAAGAAGGTGCCTGCTTCCCTTTCCGCCATAAATGTAAGTGTCCTGAGGCCTCCCCAGCCATGTGGAAATGTGAATCCATTAAGCCTCTTTTCTTTATGAATTACCCAGGCTCACAGAAGTTCTTTAGGGTGGTGTGAAAATGTACTAACACAATCTTCATAATATATTCTGTACTTAGATTCTCCTATTATTTCCCATCCTATATTTAAATGTAGAGGCTCTACCTAAGTCCTATGAGTTATCCCTCATTTTTCTTTATAGAATTAGAAAATAACTTCTATGAAATGAACCATGCCTGTAGAATCATGAGATAATAAGTAAAAATTAGGTAAATCTTAGAATAATGAAGATAATTTTTAAAAGGTGTACAATTGTATCATGAGGATAATAGCAGGTAGAATGTGAGAAGGCTTTTCTTATTGGAGTACCAAGTGTTCTTTTGGTAATAACTCCAAATTTAAATTTGAATAACATATTTAATTTAAATAAATTCTATGCATTTTTTAGTCTATTTTAATGTAGTTTTCAACACAAATTATTAACTTACTCATATACTTTTGCTTACTTTATGAACTGCCAATTTTATATTTCGCTGTTTTCCTCAATTAAATTCTTCATACACTTCACAACTCAGTTGACTTTTACATTAATGAAAATCTTTTTCTCAGAAAACAGAATGCAAGCAAATTTAAAGTGGTAAAATAATTTCATTTCTCCCATTTATTTTGTATCCTTTAATCCTATTTTCTGTTTTGGGATTCCTCTACACAAATTTTTTCAGCCTTTGCTAAAATAAAATAGAAAACTACATGAAGCACACGTTCAACTAACAGCTATTTGTTGATCGATTGATTATTAGATTGACTGAGTCATTCATTCTTATTTAAAAGTACCATGTCGAATGCATTTTCTTACTGTCATGAGCCATTTAACTAATTAGGGTAATATTTATATTATCTAAATCTTAGCTATAAAAGAAATACTAGAATATTAATTAGTATACCTGTGTTTTAGTTTTGGTCAATTATCAATTTTTACAAATTATTAAATATTTCTGGAAGGAGGTTACTCATCTGTAAGATTATATGGGTATAGTAAATGATCTCAAGTTTTTGGGTTGTTTTATCATAAAATTATGTTAATTTTTACTTTGCAAGCATGTTTATCTTAATTAACTATAATGCCTCACATTACACATATAAATTTCATGAATGTCACTACGATACATAGATTTTCCTAGATCTCAGAAATTAATGAAATATTTATTATGAAAATCAGAGTAATATTTTATTCTTTATTGGGTACCTTTATTCTTTATTGGGTACCTATTAGCTTTCTATCACTGAAGGGATGTGTATATATATGTGTATATATATCTTTATATATATATTTCAATATATAATATATATCTTTATATACAATATATATTATATATTATATATATTATATTATATTAATATATATAATATATATAATATATAATATATATAATATATAATATAATATATATTATATATATAATATATAATATATATATTATATATAATATATATAAATATAATATATATTATATATATTTATATATATAAAATATATGATATATAATGTATAATATATCATATATAATGTATAATGTATGATATATAGTGTATAATATATACTATATATTATGCATAATATATACTATATATTATGCATAATGTATACTATATATTATGCATAATGTATGCTATATATTATGCATAATGTATACTATATATTATGTATAATGTATACTATATATTATGTATAATGTATACTATATATTATGTATAATGTATAATATATTTATGTATAATATATATTATGTATAATATATAATATCTGTATATATAATATGTAATATATATTTATGTCAATTTATATTATAAATATAATATAATTCATATATTATATATTATTAATATGATATAATTTATATATAATATATTATTTTATTATTAATATATTATTTTATTATTAGTATATAGAGATATATTATTATATATTATATATAAATATATATATAAAACAATTTTTTATCATTTGAGAAAAATGAGGTGTAAGAAAATTGTGCTATTTGTCCTTTGATAAGGAAGCTAGTAAATCTTGAAGTCATATTTGCATCCTTAACTGCCATGATATATTGTTTTCCAAAACTGAGGAAGAGAAAACAAGCACATTTATTGATATAGCACAAATGTTGACTGATAGTGTTCTTTATGATCAAATATCTGGTCTTCAGTTTTCTTAAGAACTCAATATTTTCCTATAAATAGTATAACATTCTAAGATTTCTTTCCCTAAATTTTGAGCTATCATTAATAAAAGTGACTTGTTAACTATTGTTATGTCAAATGTAAATGGATGCATATTAATTTAAAAATTTAGATGCCTTGTTAAAAATATTACTTATAGCTGAGTTGCTCTATGAATCAATCTAATTGGACTTAACAGAAGTAGATAATTTTAATTGAAAAAAATGACTAGAATAGTTTTGAAACATCATTATTAATGTCAGGTATACGTAGAAAGTGTATTTAACATTGATATCTCACTTCTAAGAGATAATGTTTTAAATATTAAAATGAAAATTGCTTTGTGTAGCTTTTTAAAACAATTATTTTAAAGAATCTTTCAACTTTATTATTTATTTTGTACAGTGTTGAGTCTGCTCTTCATCTGAATTATCCAAAAAATAATTATATGTATTTGTTATTCTAGTTTGAAATGAATAAATTTATAGCTTACTTGTCATTATCATTGATGAGAATTTCTATATTGATAACTTATTATTGTGATTTAAAATAAGAAAAATAAAATTTTATCCAAAATATTTATCAATGAATCTTTTACTGACAAACATTACAAAGATGAGTAATTATATTATGTGTTTTAAAAATTCAACTTATCTCTCCACAAACTGAAATTTTTAAAAATATGGTCACACTTATAATTGTCTAATATAACTTCAATTGACTTGATTATTATTAAAAGTTAAATTTATTTTTTTAAGAAATGTGTAAATAATTGCTAACTGTTTCTTCGCTTTCTAATGAATAATTTTACCAACTTCCATAAACTTCAGTTGTTCTATGTAATTATAAAATGTGATATCTGGGCCCCCAGAAAATAATCATATTTTTACTTTAAACATTAATATTTAAAATGTTTATATGCTCTAGTAGTCTTATTAAAAAAAGAAAGCCACTCCAACATTTTAAGTGTACAAACAACTGAAACAGAATGTTTACATTTCTTAAAGATTATAAGTCATAATATATTACAAATGTAAAATTGTGCCTTTGTCACATGTGACTCCTATAGCCATATATGACATATGTTTGGATCTAAAGTGCAAAAATATAATTTGGAATATCAATGAATATCAAATGTATGATAGCATTAGAATTTATTTGGAATTTGGAAGAGTTCATTCCCCATCTCAACAATATGTAATAAACATAATTGTTTATAAATAATGTTTTTTTCAGAATTTTTTTTACTCCAAATACTTTATATATAGATATAATACGATTTAGTTAACTAATTATTGATTTACTTGTATTGTACAATCTTTCTTTTGCATTACATAAAATAATACCATGTTGAATATCATTTACTTAAGTCTATGTTTATCTTCTGTATCTTTCTTAGGATAACTCAAAAGACATGAATTTTAGGTCAAGTATATATATATATATATTTGACAAAATATATACATATCTGACAAAATATGTGTATATTTGACACACACATATACATATTTGACATATATATGTGTGTGTGTATATATATATATATATATATTTAAGGCTTTTAGGACACATTATTGAGTTGTCTTGAGAAATGTGCCAATGTCTTTTTTTCAGAGCAACAAATTTTCTTTAATCTGCTCTTAGCCTACTGCCTAGTTCTCCAAATCTTTCCTATATCTTGTTCACATTACTGGCCTTCTTTTAGTCCATTTGACATATTAGGCTCTTGTTTATTTTCCAGACTAGGTCTATCTACATTTGCCATTCTCACTACATGCAGTGCCACTAACCACTCCCTCTCTAATCCCTGCTCTTTATACAGATATTTATTTAAATGTACATTCCAAGAAAAGCCTTTGCTGGTATCTCAAGTCCTGACGTTACATAGTATTGTCGAACTCTGTGTTTATCTGTAGCACTTCACTTGATTTCTAAATATGTATAAATAAAAAGGTTTCAATAGCATTAGATGTCTGTGTTTGATATAATCAGATACCTTATCAGACTCTGTTGATGATTGTATGATTTTTCTTCTCAGATGTAAAACCCCTGGGTTTGTCTTATTAGTTGATTTAGCAAATAAAATAAGTAACTAGCCAAAATGTACCATTCTTCAAGTCTAAGCCTCAAGTATTCTTGTTCATTTTTGCTCTTTTGCAGACTCCTCGCTCTCCTGGGAAAATGAACCCATATTAGCTTGATAGAGGATAAGAAACCATTTGAAGAGTTGAGGCATGATATCTGTTGGTCAGCCAAGCCCTAGGAGAAGGACCTCTAAGCCAGCCTGCATTTAATTAACCTCAAATGCATGAAGTAGCTAAGCCCAATAAAAGGACCCAGTTGAACCCAGTTTAAATTCCCATGATAATACAAATTATTACCAAAATAAATATATTTTGTTTTAAGCTACTGAGTTTGGAGATCTTATTATGTAGCAGTAAGTTCTTGATACAGAAAAGTTATATTTATTTCTTATTCTGTCTTTTAAAGTTTCGGTTTATAAAGATGGTACCTATGTTATTCAAAGTTTAGCTATTCATAACTGTTAAATATGCATTATGAATTGTGACTTTTAATATCATATTATCTTTTCTTTTCTTAAAGAACTTTTGAGGTACAACTCTGCCTTGTCTTAGATCAAGATCTCAATCTCTGCTGTTTTTCTCTTTTTAAAGCTGTCTAGGATACCTTTTCTAATTTGGTTATATTAGCCTTTTACTCACTATTTTTCTGTAACCAGCATAAAAACTGGTTTTACTTCTTGAGTCAATTTGAAGATCCTTTTTTATTTAATAGATGAGGTAAACTCATTTGATGCTTTTATATATCTGGTATGGCTGATCAAATGTTTTATTTTGTTATATTTATTTTGTGTTTTCTTATCTGTATAATCTCTTTTCTTTGTATTTTAACATATGTTTCGGTTTTGATAGTGCCTATTATTTTACTTTTAGTGATTATTTTGAAAATTGATAAAAATCATGGAAATCTTGTAAAAATATATTAAGATATATACATTATTTTTCATATTACTTGAATGAATTTTCAAATTATAAAGCCCTAAACTATGTCCACAAAAGTTACTAAAATTAAAAAGAGGTGAGCTAGGTTCCTGGATACAAAATAAATATAAATATATCACCTGAATTTTATGTATAAGACAAACAGATAAAAATAAAATTTTGTGAAAGCTCAAGTGAATAAATAAATAAATTATATTCTCAGATTGGAGAACTTAGTATTGTAAAAACAACAATTTCTGAAAAGTCATTTAATTTAATGCAATTCCATTTAAAATCCCAACCGATGTTGGGGGAACTTGAAAGCTGTTTTAAAATTTTGTAGTCTCCCCGAAAAAACTGGGAGACTCTCAATAAAGAACAAAGCAAGAAAAAAAAAATCAGGTAGGAAGATCCACCTTGCCAAATATCTAGACTTATTTTGATCTTATAGTAATTAATTCAGCATGTTATTGATTCCAGAATAGATATAGACCACCAACACAAAAATATAAACTTCAATAACATAGTATATAATATAGATAAATCCTTCATACATGACAGAGATGGCGTTGACAAGCGCTGGGGAAAGGATTATCTCTTCAATTGACAAAGGACAATTGCATATTTATGAGAAAGAGAATGCCTAATTGAACCCCTGACACACACCTTATTGAATAATCATATGTATTCAATGCTTAAATATGAAAAGTTAAAGTAAGGCTTTTAAAAGCAAGTCTTATATGAAATTTAACAGAATATCTTCACAACCTTGGGATTGTAAGGGATTTCTTAAACAAGAAAGCAACAACACTAGGGGGTAAAAGAAAAAAAGAAAAGGAAAAACTAGACCAATGCACTAATGTTCTCATTATAATTGTTATAGTCAGCAATTTTTTTGTGACCAACAGATAATATTTAAATATGTTCATAACAGTTTGAACGTACAATTTTATGTATATTGAATCTAATTCTTAAATTGTATTTGTATTTGGAAAATCTTTGTTTTCTATTACACATTTATACATATATATACATTTTCTATTTTTTATATACATATATATATACACACACATGCATTTACTCAAGTATCAGCAAACTAAAGACAGTAATTTTTTTAACGCTATACAATGAGAGAAGTGGTAAAATAGACATTAAAATTTTTAAAAAATATATTCAGTGAAAGACATTCTAAGATTAAAAACACAATGCAAGGTATGGGAGATATGCAGCATATTAATTGCCAAGAGAGTTTAGTGTTGAGAAATTCTTAATCATTGTAAATAATCAAATCAACTAGAAAAACTGGCAAAAACAATCTTCAGAAAAACAAACATAAATAAACACTTTATGAGGATTCCTCAATGTCTGATAACACGAGAATTGCTCAACTTTATGATCCTCAGGAAAATGAATGTTAAAATTATGATATCAGCAGATCATCAAATGTTTAAAAGTCTCACAATTTTAAATGTCAGCAAGGTTGCTGACCAGCAGGAGCACTGGACAAACAAGACTTCAATTCCCTTTAGAAATCTCATTGGTATTTATGGCTATAAATAGGAATGACATATGAAAATATTATGCTAAGTGTAAAAAGCCACACACAGAAATAAAAATATTGTACATGATCTCACATGTAGCATCTAAAATAAAAAGAAAAAGTTGAGTACATAGACACAGAGAGCAGAACAGTTGTTGAGAATGGGGAGATGTTGCCAAAGGGCACCAAGTTGCAATAAAGTATGATGACTATGTCTGGAGATCTAATGTAAAGCATGATAATTAGAGTTAATAATACTGTGTCATATACTGGAAATTTGCTGAAAAAGCAGACTTATTTGCTTTTACCACACACTCATACACATACACAAAAGTGTGAGATGATGTATATGTTACTTGGCTTCACTGTAGTAATCAATTCGCTGGGTATATTTACATAAAAAAGTCATGATTTACATCATATATACATGAAACAAGAAAGAAGGGGAGAAGAAAAGAAGGAAGGAAGGAAGAAAGGGAGGGAGGGAGGGAAGAAGAAATAAAGGAAGGGAAGGGAAGGGAGGGGAAGGGGAGGGGAGGGGAACGAAGGGAAGGGAACGGGAAGGGAGGGGAAGAAGGGAGGGAGGAAGGGGGTGAAGGGAAAGGAAAGGAAAATGAGCAAGGTAGCTGCTCATGGGTGGCATTCACTAAAGCTAAACATATTCCATGAGGAGCAATTCCAAACTGACGGAAATGCTTAGAGGCCACTCAAAATAATAGGAAGTGGATCCCAACTTGTCATGGTAGCACAGTAAAAATATGTAAAGGCCCAACACTAGCAGGTCGGATAAAGAAATGGCGGTGCGGCCGTGGTGGGAAAGAGTAACCATCAGTGAAAACCAACCAGCCACCACTGTGGGCACCCTCACTCATGCAGCGAGCAGGTGGACAGTGCCCCTGTCCCCTCTGAGTCCCCTGGGATCTGCAGGACTGTTCAAGGACAGATTCCCTTTATAAATTCAGTAAGGTCTTGGAATCAGGGTCTTTCTGGTTCACAAATCATCTCTTTCTTTGGGCATTAGAGGAGTCCTGTGGAGTCAAAGCATAATGCAGAATCTGGCCAACAATGGGAGGTACAGGGGTCCTAAGGCCAGGCTAGGGTTGGGTCAGCCGTAGAGCCCTACTGGGCACCAGGCACAGGGCCCTCAGGTTTGGCTATGGCTTGGAACAGTGGGTCCTGCTGCTTTAAAGATTCCCAAGTGGCTGGGCCAAAGGAATGACAAAAGAATTGCAAAAATTTGCCGCTCTCTCCTAACACGGAACCCACAGGTGCGGGGCTCCCCCAGTATGTGCCAGGCACCCTCGCCTCCCTCACCTCACTCCACTATCACTGGAGCTGATGCTGTAGCTGCTGCCTAGAGTATCTGGCCTGGCTTTTCTCATGCCACACCGGTATTTGGTGCTCCTTCAGGTGGAGACTTTTGGCCCAACTGAGCCTGCCAGCCCAGTGCTTTCCCTTCTGGTAGGTTGGGTATTTGTTCTATTCAAAATAAAGCTCTTGAAGCTGTTTCTTTCTGTGGACCATGGGTTTCTGCTGCTGTTTTCTTGGGCACCCTGGGCATGATGGGAAGTCCATGAGATATCTTGCATCTTTGTCCCTGATTTGTTTCTTGTAGATGAGGCTGTCCTCACAAGACCCTGGCTTAAATGCTTCCCTCCAAGCTGTGCCCATCCAAGCCCACTCTGCTGGTGCTGATGCCAACCCTGTCTCACCATATGTTTTTTAAATAGAGATATATTGCATAAACACACTTAATAGTCACACAATAATCACACAAGCAATAGTCAAGTGGCAAATATTGAATATAGGTAAAGAATTTAAATAATATAACTAACAACATTTATAAAGACATATTTTATACATAATTTCATGATATTTGATTTAACATTCTACTTCTTGGACTATGGAACGCTTGCTGTGCGGTATCAGTTGGAAATATATAGCAAGAGTGAATGTGTTCATCAACAAGTCAATGTTTTAATTTCACATTTTATCAGTCAGCTTTTGAAATGTTCTAAAAGTTCCTTGCTAGCACATTGAGAACATGACTTTTTGAATTACATCATGTATTTTGATATAAGGTGATTTGGCAGTACTTTGGGTTCTTTAGACAGAAAGCTTTCTAAAATTGTAACATTATTAATTCTCTTAACTTGTCCCTCAATTTTACTTGGCTGACATAATGACAAGGAAAATGCCCGGAGGACACAGGAATAATAACATAAGGTATCTTTGAAAGAAATAAAATATATATTTCTGGTTTGCATCATTTTAGGAGAGCACACAAGATGTCTATCCCCTGTGTGTATGCCTATATAATCCTCTCACCTTTAGTATTAGCCGGACAAGTGATTATGATGGAATATCACTCCATGATTAGATTACATTATATGGCAAAGGTTAAGTGATTGTGGAGGTGTGATTAAGTTTCCTAATCAGTTGATTTTACATTAATCAAAAGGGAAATTATTCTTGGTGGGCTGTAATTAATAATCTGAGCTCCTTAAAATGTAGTCTAGAAGTCAGAAAGAAAAAGTCAGAAAAGTTCAAAGGAGGAGGGAAACTTCCTTTCTTGTCTTAAAGAATCAAAATGCCATGTTGTGGAGAGGATTACATGGCATAGAATAGCAGATTTCCTTGAGGAGCTTAGAGCCTTATTCACACAGCTACAAGAAACTAAATTCTGATAACAACCAAGTGAACTTAGAAGAGAAACCTGAATTTCAAGTTAGATCACAGACCTTCCAACACCTAGATATTAGTTCAGTGAAACTGATTACAACTGTCTAATCTATGCCTGGACCCTTAAAGCACTGAAACCGCAATATAATAAAATTATATTGGTTTAATAGTTACGGTTGTGATAATTTGATAAACAATAATATAAAATTAATACATTGACATTTAAAAGTTATCCAAGAGTGTTACAATATAACACCCATACAACAGGTCTGTGAGATTAGGTACAGGGCAATAAAATGACTGCAGAGAGATTAGGGCACAAAAATTTCTTATAAAAATATTAATTAATCACACTGATTAAAATGAGTTATTGGAAGAAAAAACATTTCAATAGTTTGTTCCATTTCTCAGTAGTATTTCTAAAGAATTTATCTGTCTATTTATCCATCTATCTAATATATTATCAATCATCTGAAGCTGTTTTACTAACAGTATCTGGCACTGAGAAGAAATGTTAATGAAAGACATAAGTTCTGCTTTATTGAACTGTAGTATGAATTCAAAACTACAAAGCAATGAGTTAATAGAGGTTTTTCAAAGCCATCTATTCCCCTGCATACTGTAGGGTTAATAAAGAGAGGTGAATAATGAAAGAATTGTAGATACAAAATAAATACTGTTTAGAATATAAAAACATTAATTTTGTTTTTCTCTGAAGAAAAGTGTATTTTCTTTCCTAATTTATTGTGGAATGCTTATTAATTTGGCAACTATTCTCTGACCTTTCTTTGCCAAAAAGAAGTAAACTGATTCTATTCTGAGAATCATACAATTCTACTGCACTTGTGTCAGCTGCAATGTAACCAATCTCAAATGAGGGAACGTGCACCAAAGAAGTATATCAGTAAGCCATGAAAATGCAAAAAAATTATTTATTATACAATTCAAAATGCTAACAAATAAAAATATGAACTGTGATATAAAGGGCTAATAAACCAGTGATCGGAATATAAAAGCATTCATTGTATTTCCATACACTTTCACTGATTCAGATATTATTGTGTTCTGTACAATTGATATCAACTGTTATGGAACAACTGAAATTTCAGCAATCCTCATTAATAATAAAAATAGTCAAAGCCATTCTCTTCCCTACCCCAAAATTTGTGAGAAATTTTCATGCAATCTGCCATTTTGGGTTTAGAATAACTGCTTTATAGAGTAGAATATTAAAACTGATGAAAGATGTATAAAAATAACATACACAAAGCTGAAAATAAGCTGAATTTGGAATCCATAAGTGAAGTTTCACCACTGTAAGTATATCTATACTTAACAATAATCTCCTTTTCTCTTTCCTTTACCGAGATTTGTGTTTATGTTTTGTTGATGTCTGATATTAAAATTAATTTAGTCTTTAAGTAAACAATCACATGTGGCTGTGATTTAAGCAGGTAGAGGAATTAACAAGTTCTGGGAATTAGGATGTGCATATACTGGAAGCCTAGGGAAATATGGTAAAATGGGGAATCATTTACCTCTTTCATATTGTGCTAAGGAATCCAGAAAGGAATATGATACTCTACCAAGGCACTCATATGATATATCCATATGTAAAAAAAAAATCCCACAGAAAAGTATGGGAAGAGTCCCTAAGTCCCTTATGAGCTATTTGAGCTAGATGGGGTTGATGAAAATGGAAAATCTGTTTTATACTCTGGAAGGGTGGAATATAAACTAAGAGAGAGAAAGAGTAAGAAGAAAATTGTTAACAGACTTTAAAAGTGTATAAATGAATTGCAATGTATAACCCTTATGTGAAACCTTATTAAATATAAACAGTAAACAACAAACACATTTGTGTATCATGAGAAAATATGAACCATTCTTGGATATTTTATTATATTAAGAAATTACCGTTACTTTTTGTGATAAAATGATAATATTGTGGATAAACTTAGGGAAAAAAGGAACCCTAACTTTCAGAAGCAAATGTTGAAATACTTAGAAGTGAAATTAGTAATGTCTGAAATTTGCTTTAAAATAAAGTGATTAAGGGGGGTATGGGCAGGGTTTTTAGATGATACAAGATTTTCCATTAGTGAATAATTTTTGAAGGTGTGTGATGGGTACATAAAGAGATCGTTTTATTATTTCCTCTACTTGTGTATTAATTTCCAGTTTTATCAAGAAAACTTTTAAATTAATTGATTAAATGTGTCTGGGAAGCCACCCAGGACAGGAATGCTAAACTGAATCTTCTCCCAAATGTTAGCAAATGTATATTAATATAGCTAAGTTATAGATCTGTTAGCTACTATTATACTGAAGTGAAAAATTGGAACTCTCCCATAAATGTATCAGGAGAAAATTTCTTAGAAAAATGCTTTATATCAAAGTTTTTTAATGTCCTGAGAAATCACAAGGATTTTACTTGTATAATATTCATATCTCTAAGGTGTTCATAGTGAAAGAGATTTGAATGTGCCTGTTGTACTACATATTTTTGAAGATGTGTGTGCTATATTGCCAAAATTATATTAATGTATCTGATAAAATGCTGATATCTAGAATATGTAAACAACATTCATATATAACTAAAAGACCATCCAATTAAAATTTGGCAAAAAATCTGAATAGGTATTTCTCTAACAAAGATATACTAATGGCACATAAGCAAATAAAAATATGTATATCATTAGTCATCAGATCAATTTAAATCAAAACCACAATGAGATACCTCTTCCCACCAACTAAAATAAAAAAGTCAATAATAACTAGTTTTTGCATTAATATATAGAAGTCAGGATCCTCATACACTGTTGAAGAGAATGTAAAATGCTGTAGCTACTTTGGTAAACATTCTAACTGTTCCTCAAGTTATTAGACATAGTGTTATCTTATGGCCCAACAAATCCATGCTTGACATTTGTTCTCACCCAGGGTT
Source organism: Homo sapiens (assembly GCF_000001405.40). Taxonomy (NCBI): domain Eukaryota; kingdom Metazoa; phylum Chordata; class Mammalia; order Primates; family Hominidae; genus Homo; species Homo sapiens. The sequence continues at coordinate 67,243,767 of NC_000006.12, forward strand.
CTTCTCAGCTTTTTTTTTTTTCTTAATTTCTCTTATTCTTTTCTATGCTTCTGTTTAGGCCTTATCTTCATTAAATCCAAAAATCTCCTTCCAAAGTATTTTTCATCCCAACCCCCATATTTCTCCAGTGTGTCCTTAGTTTTGAACATCTTCAGGCTCTGTTGCAAATGGAGTCAGTTCTGATTTTCCATAGATTTTCTTTAAGACACATTTATTCATTTGCTGTTTGCTTTTAGAAACAATTCCAGAGATGTTAATGCTTGATTTTTAAAATACTTTTGATTAGTTTCGCTAGTGAGAGTGTCAGAAAATCTCATGCTGTCATGCCATTTGGTCTATCTTCAGTTCTATGTTTTGTTTTTTTATAACATTAATTCAGAGAGATGAAAACAGGTTTTCCACTTTCATCAACCAACCAAATCTAGCTCAAATTGATTAGACTATTTTATTTTATTTATTTTATTTTATTTTATTTTATTATTTTATTTTGTTTTGTTTTTATTTTATTTTATTTTATTTTATTTTATTTTATTTTATTTTATTTTAATTTTATTTTGAGATAGAGACTCACTCTGTCGCCCAGGCTGAAATGCATTGGCGTGGTCTCGGCTCACTGCAACCTCCACCTCTCGGGTTCAAGCGATTCTTCTGCCTCAACCTCCTGTGTAGCTGAGATTACAGGTGTGCGCCACCACTGCCCGGCTAATTTTTGTGTTTTTAGTGGAGACAGGGTTTCACCATGTTGGTCAGGCTGCTCTCCAACTCCTGAGCTTGTGATCTGCCCGTCTCAGCCTCCCAAAGTGCCAGGATTGCAGACGTGAGCCACCGCGCCTGGGTGATTAGACTTTTTAAACTATGAAATATAGGCAGAATAGTTATACCAGTTTTGTGTGTGTGTTTGTGCATGCATGCATGCTGTCATATCAACAAAGAGAATAAAATGGTCTTTTGGTGAGCCTTATTGATAGCCTACTCCGTATGTTAAGGAAATTAACATTTGAAAATGCAGGAGAGAAACTTTTCATCAAGAGAGATGAGCAAATAGCTCAGAAGGGACTTAGGGACTCTTCCTATACTTTTTCTGTAGGATGTTTTTGATATACAACTATATTATATGAGTGCCTTGGCAGGGTATCATATTTCTTTCTGGATTCCTTAGCATAATATCAAAGGGGTAAACGATTTCTCACTTTATCTTATTTCCCTAGGGAACTGGGTTCCCAATTCTGGAAATGCTGAATGAAGAAGAAAAATGAAAAGTAAAGACAGTTGAAGGACGATGTCAAGTACTAAACCACATATTAAGAGTATAAGCATATACTCTGTATACAATAGTCTTGAAATCTTCGTGTCACATAGTAGTATAACAACTCATTGGGCTTTTAGGTTGTTCCTTTGACTGTTTTAGAGTCATGGGGCAATACATTTGATTTGAGTAAGGCAAGAGAGTTGAATCAATAGGGTTAGCTAATGGAAAAGATGATGTTACTTCTCACATTTAGAGAAGTTAAATTGGTTTCCTCTTTGTTGAGACACTAAATTCTTGTAGGCATAAAAAAAAAAGAAAAAAAAATCTTTACAATCAGATTCCAAACTGTCTCTGTAGATTAGTTCCAGTTTATTTTTCTTCCTTTTCAACTATGGATGTTATAGGCCTGCCACAAAAATACTTAAATTTTTCAGTCTGTATGTTTCACTACAATCAATTACATTACAGCCTTAATTAGAAATATTGAATGTGCTAAGACCTATTCTTAAAACAGAAGTGACAATTCAGAGAAGAAACAAGAAAGGATTTAGTGTGAAACATTTTATTTAAATCTAGTTAAGTCAGTTGTAAGAAATACAATTATTTTCCAGATGAGATATACATATATATAGAAACTGGAGAAGTGATTATACCCTCAAAGTCCAATGATTATACAGTTTTTAACACATTAGATAAATGTTAAATTGATAAACAGATTTACAGATGGAAGGATAGACATAATAGAGAAATGGAACATTGATAATACGAAATAAAGTATTTTCATAATTCAAACTCTTCCATGTAGAATGACACATTTTGCAGTCAATAGTGAACTCCCCTCCTCTCTAATGTCTATGTATTTAAAAAACTCAATTTCCGTGTATTTATGTTCAATTTTGTTGAAAAATACAGTACGGTAAATCGTATATACCTGTGAATTATAAAATCTGCTTGCCAAGTAACTCATTGTAATTTGTATTTCCAGAGTACTCTGTTCACTTCCTTTATATATACCCATGGCCCAATAATTATAATAATAATATTGTAATGCAAATCGTAATCAAAATTGTATGAAATTTTACAGTAGTCCCTTCTTATCCCTGGTTTTCCTTTCTGTGGTTTCAGTAACCCATGGTAAACTATAGTCTGAAAATATTAAATGGAAAATCCAAAAATAAACAATGCAAAAGTTTTAAATGCATGTTGTTTTGAATAGCATGATGAAATCTTGTGCCCTCCTGTTCTGTCCCACTCAGGATATGAAATATTCCTTTGTCCAGCTATCCATGCTGCGAAAGCTACCTGCCCATTAATCACTTAGGAGCCTTCTTGGTTATCCGATCGACTGTTACTGTATTGCAGTGCTTGTGTTTAAGTAACCCTTATTTTACTTAATAACAGCCCCAAAGTGCAAAAATGCCTGATTTATGAATCAAAGTTTATTAAAGGTATGTATGTATAAGAGAAAAACACGGTATATAGAATTTGGCACTATCCGTAGTTTCAGGAATCCACACGGGAGACTTGGAACATATTTTCTCTGAGTAAGGGGTGGCTACTGTATTTAATCTATGTGAATTTTGGACTTAGTCTCATGTTATCCTAAGGTCTTTTTGTAAAACAAGAAAACAAATCAAAACCAAACCTTTGTTTATAGGAGTTTTCTCCCCTGAAATTATATGCAAATTTTTGAAGGGAAAACAATCTCGTCTATAATTTACTAGTATGAGGTAGTTTTCCTTGCCTTTTTCTGAAACTTTTTCATGTTCTTTATGTTCTATCAGGTTTGCTTTACCTGTAGTAACCACTAATTTTGTGAACCATTTTGTTTTCCAGAGAAGAGACACACAACACAAGTAAAGCATTGAAATGAGTTATTTATTGGTTCAGTGAACATATGTATACTGTTTGGAACTGAGGATGCAATCACAGAGTCAACAGAATATCACTGGATAAAACATAATTTAACTTATCCTTCCATGATAAAGTATGAATGTAAATACTCTCATTCTCATCTCTTTACTTGGTAGATATATAAAATATATTAAAGGCAGCATAGAAGACAATAAAAACATGCTTTGCTGCTAACAAGCAATAAAACAGTTTGGAAAACCTGTTTAAGGTCTGCAAGTTCTAACACTCACAAAATATTTGTAACTAAATGAGTTATATATCATTGAACTATGTTAACGAAAACCATAAGTGTTCTGTAGAATAATTTAGACAATTATACCCTTTGGCCTATGTGACTAAGCCATATTTTTAAAACTAGAAAGTCCAATAGACAATTTAAGGAAAATGTTTATAAAACAAAAATATGTGCATTTTGAAATACATAGAATTTATATTTAAATGTGATGTTTTCACATAAAATGTTTTAAAGATCAAAAACAAAATATAAATTTAGAAATCTTTTACATCCAGTAACACTGACATTTAAACTTTTTGAATTACATACAAATATATTATAATCCATTTTGAAATATGTGAACAACTTGTGGTGTCATGGAAAAAATATAGAAAAATGATACATCAATTGATGTGTAAGTATTTTAATTTGCTTTTATAGGACACTGAACTTAACTAACCTTGAGCTAAAATTATTAATGAAATTACTACTTAACATATATATCACAAAATAGTCAAAGTTTAGATCTGTCAGTAATTAACTTAAATAATAGACACTAGTATATGAGCTGATATAAAAGTAAATATGGAAATAAATATACCTACATTTAATTTCTTAATGAAAATTTACTGGGTAACAAACAATAGAAAAATTCAACTTTATAAGGATAGTTTTGATAAAAGAGTATTAAGTAAAATGCTCAACAAGAAGATAAATAAAATTTTCATTTGAGCATTTAAGAAGCATTCAGAAAGCTGAAATGATCATAACAGAAAATTTGTTCAACAATGCTGTACAAGTTTTATACACATATTCCTAATTTAAATGTTAGCTTTCTTTTGTTTATATATTGAAAACTACTCAGCTAATATTATTAAATATTTTACAGAAGCAAAACATCTATTTTTCTCCTGTTTTAATAAAATAAACTTATTTCAAATTTAATAGTAATTAATAAACATAATTAAAATAGGAAAATAGGGACCAGGCACAGTGGCTCACACCTAAAATCCCAGCACTTTGGGCAGCAGAGGAGCGTAAATTTCTATAGCCCAGGAGTTTGAGACCAGCCTGCACAAAATGGTGAAATCCTCTGTCTACAAAAACCACAAAATTAGCTGAGCTTGACGGCGCGTGCCTGTAGTTCCAGCTACTCAGGAAACTGAGGTGGGAGGATTCCTTGAGCCCAGGAAGTTGAGGCTGCAGTATGCTGTGATGGTGCCACTGCACTCCAGTCTGGGTGATAGAGCAAGACCCTTTCTCAAGAACAAAAATAAAAGAAAGGAAAAGAGAGGAAGAGAGAAAGAAGGAAAGGAAGGAAGGAAGGAAGGAAGGAAGGAAGGAAGGAAGGAAGGAAGGAAGGGACAGAAGGGAAAATACAAGCACATACCGATGCAAAAACCTGTCTATAATATTACCACACTGAGATCCTGTCAGAGTTTACGTGTATGCTTATTATTTGATATACTTCACACTATTGTATACATATTTTCAAATAGACTTTATTTTTATGTTAACTATGTGAGACATTCACCAATAGATACCCTAAAGATTTATCATATTTAGCAATTTTATTTTCTGAAAAGTGAATTTGAACTGGTTTAACTTAAGAATTTTGCTGATCTTTCCTGGGCTTACTAATGGAGCTCTAGTCATCTCATTCTTTGGGTAAAGGTGACTGGCTAAGGATCGCCTCATTCTTATGCCTGGAAATTGGTGCCAGGCCTTGTTAGGTACTGCTTGTTGCAGGTATGATGAAGATGACAGGGCCATGTTTCCAATCGCTTAGGCTAGGCTTCCTCACATGATAGCAAATAACAGTGTTCCAAAAAGCAGGAAGAGGGCAAAATTCAATGTTAGGCAGTTTTTGAACTTCTGCTTGTCTGATCTTTGCTTAATGCTCCATTAGTTAAGACAGCTCACTTGGTCAATGCAAGATTTAAGAGGAAGAGAAATAGACCCTCACCTCTTGACTGAAGACACAGCTAAGTCAAATTGCAAAGAAGTGTGCATTAAAAGAGAGGGGAAAAATTATGGCTGCTCTGTAGTTTTACAGAATTTGGTGTGTGTATTGAAAAAAATCTTATATCATTCTATCACTTGTATCTTTCCCTTTCTTAATTCTTCCTTTTGACTTCACTAATTTTAATTAAGCCCAGATTAGTTTTCTGGTTTTTTTTTTCTTTTAAGATTGGTGCTTTTAAGATTCAACACACAACAATCAAACAGCATTTCTAGATAACAACAGTGAACTATCTGAAAAAAACAGCAAGGAAATCAATTCCATTTAAAAAATTTACAAAAAAACTAGAAATACATTTAAGAAAATAGGTACAATAACTCTGCAATGAAAACTATACAATACTGATTACAGAAAATTGAAGAGGACATTAATAAGTGGACAGGTAGCTTGTGTTCATACATGGGAAGAACTAATATTGCTAAAATTCAACACTATCCAAAGCAATATAAAGATTAGATGCAATTCCTGTAAAAAAAGCAAAGATATTTTTCAGAGAAATGGAAACAAGCCTACAATTTGTATGGAGCCACAAAAAGCCCCAAGTAGTGGAATCAAACTTAAGCAAAAAGAACAAAGCTGGAGAAATCACATTACCTGACTTAAAATATACTACAAAACAATATTGAACAAAACAACATGGTACTGGCATGGAAACAGACACATAGATAAATTGAACACAATAGAGAACCCAGAAATAAATCTATACATGTACAGCCAACTAACTTTTGACAAGGGTTGCAATAATTCACATTGTGGAGAAAGACAGTCCCGTCGTTAAATGGTGATAGGAAAACTGAATATTCATATGCAGAAGAATGAAACAAGACACAATTCTTTCATCACTTACAAAAATCAACTTAAAGTGGAGTAAATACTTAAGTGTTCCACGTTGAAATTACTAGAAGAAAACGTACAAAATGCTTCATGACATTGATCTGGGCGTGGATTTTCTGAATAAGACCTGAAAACCACAGTCAACAAAAGCAAAAATAGACAAATGTCAAACTAAAATGCTTCTGCACAGCAAAAGAAATAACAAAGGGAAGAGACAACATTGCTACAGAATGGAAGAAAATATCCACAAACTATGCATCTGACTAGAAGCTAATATCCAAAATATATCAGGAACTCAAACAACTGAATAGCAAAAATAATAAATCAATTAAAATTAGTAAAATATTGTAATAGACATTTTCAAAAGAAGACATGCAAATAGCCAACAGGTATAGGCTTTGTTTTTATCTTTTGTTTCTTTTGCATGTTTTGCAAACTCTGATTTTATGTATTTAATCAGTTTCAGAGAGGTCTCAACAAGTATCTTTTCAAATGTTATTTATCCTCATAATCTTTTTGCTCTTTCTTATGCTTAAATTTGTATATAGTTTTTGTAGCATGACCTACATTTCTTTTATATCCTTTTCCATATTTCTTATCTTTTCTTTATGTATATTAATATAGATATGTTCTGATGCATACTCCCAATCAATAATCTTTTTTTCTGCTTAAATCTACTATTAACACACCTATTGAATTATTTCAATTATTATTATATTGGTCTAGAATATAGTTCTAGAATTTAAATAAAAATACAAAAATTTAAATTATCTGGTGAAATTATTTCTCATCTTGAACACTTTAATCATAGTTATTTTAATATTAGTTTCTGAATAAATTATGAATTTGTATCTATTGTTCTTTTATCTCTCGATTGTTAATCATCTGATCCTGCTTACTGGCATGCTTGGTGACATTTGAGAGAATGCTGGACATTAAGTAGGAAAAGATGATGCTTGGTGATGTTACTTATTCCAGGGTTGATTTATTTACCTTCTCTTAGGCTCTTTGAAAACAGGCAGACTACCTTCATTCAGTCCACGCTAGGTTTCAGGTTTTGTAGAACTCATCTGTTTCTAGTTTTCTCTTCCTACCATAGCCCTCACTAATAACCTAAGTATTTACCAGCTTTCCTCCATCTGTCATGTCCTGAAGTTCAACCCCTGTCTTGCTTAGGTCTGCAAAATGCTTAACATTTGCTTAATGATATAGCATCACAGCACCTAATTTTAATTTATTTTTCAAACTTTTTAATGCATATGCAGCTTAACATTCAGCAAGTGACTCAAGAAGAAAAACACATAGCAATTTTAGAAGAATGAACACTACCTTTTTCTATATCATATCTCCCTAATACTCAGATTCCTTGTGAGCCCCGAATTTCAACTTCCGTGACCTTGGAACAGTGTGACTACTGTACACCTAAAGCTGCTTCTTTCAATCTCTATCCCCCTACAGCAAACCAGCAAATTATTCATAGGACAAAAGTAGAGGCAAATGTGAGGCTTACCATATGCCAACCTCTCCTGAAAAGTATTCCGATACACTACTAGTGGAATTATAAATTACAACACATTCGAGAAATAAATTAGAAAATAAAAAATTGCTGGTAAAATATTTGAGTAAAATTTTTCTGATAAAAGACAAAGAAATAATATACCAGATGAAATCTATTTTTAGGATTATACTTTATGGGAAATTTTGCAAATATACACAAGACGATATGGGCTAGTAAAAGGGAAGACTTTGGCTAGGCACGGTGGCTCACACCTGTAATACCAGCACTTTGGGAGGCTGAGGCAGGCAGATCACCTGAGGTCAGGAGTTCAATACCAGCCTGGCCAACATGGTGAAACCCCATCTCTACTAAAAATACAAGAAATGAGCAAGGCGTCGTGGTGTGCACCTGTAATCCCAGCTACTCAGGAAGCTGAAGCAGGAGAATCGCTTGAACCCAGGAGGCAGAGGTTGCAGTGAGCTAAGATCTTGCCACTGCACTCTAGCCTGGGCAACAAAAGTGAAACTCCATCTCAAAGTAAGTAAGTAAATAAATGCAAATAAAAAAATGAAAATAAAAAAGGGAAGACTTCCCAAACTAATAAATAAGGAAATGAATAAATAATAGTAGTTATGTTAATACCATAGACTAATACAGGATGCACATTTCTAGAGGATCTCTGAGGGGAAGCATGATGATTTCTGAGGACATGCTCCAGGAAAACAAATATAACTGGTAAAAAATATTTTTTAAAATATATATTTGAAGGCATTTAAAAACACTAGAAACTTCCTAAGGGCAAACAGCAAATGGAACAAACATTTATTTAAGAAAACCTATAAATCATGATAAGAACAGTGAGAATCTGTGACATATGAAGAACAATGATTTTCTTTCCAGTCAGTTCATCAAGAAAGAAGTTATATTCCTAGGTGTTTTTTGTTTGTTTGTTTGTTTGTTTTTTGTTTTTGACAGAGTCTTGCTCTGTTGCCCAGGCTGGAATGCAGTGGCATGATCTTGGCTCACTGCAGCCTCTGCCTCCCAGTTTCCAGCGATTCTCCCGCCTCAGCCTCCTGGGTAGCTGGGATTACAGGCACATGCCATCGTGCCCTGATAATTTTTGTATTTTTAGTAGAGACAGGGTTTTGGCATGTTGGCCAGGCTGGTCTCGAACTATTGACCTCAGGAGATCCAGCCCACTCAGCCTCCCAAAGTGCTGCGATTACAGGCGTGAGCCACTTCTCCTGCCCATTCTTGGCATTTTTTTTATGTAAGTGTATGAGGTTCTTTCTTCCCTAGCTACCAGTCTAGGGCTATGGTATCTGCTAAGAAGGGCAGGCTGCCAGCATTTATCATCCTCCACAGATCTGTGCCACAGAAGCTCTGTTTTAATCAATAGCAGCTGTGAGGTCTGTGGCTTCCTTCCTCTGTCTTTCTTCCATTTATGAGGTAAAAACTCTACTCCAGATGCAGCAGGATGAAAATACTAGGCTCTAATTGTTCTTACCCTAATTTACTCATAGGATGGAGGTTTCTCATCAGGAGAGGCAAGCTGAAAAAAATAGAGGCTATACTCCCTGCCCTGTACCCTGCTTATAAATCATAGTGCCATCTGATAGAAGTGGGCCATTACTCTATCCCCAGCTACAAGACAGTGGTACAAATGTTTTACCCAGGGGGAAATGTAGATCTTAAGAAAGGAGAAATTTGTACCTCTCCCTGAGTGGATCGATTTTATTTGGAACAAAGCTCAGAGAGTAATGTCTAAGGGCACTGTTGAAAACATTGGGGATTTTCATGGTATGCACTTAAGAGGAGACAGGTATCTCCAAGAAAGGAAAAAGATAAAGTGCAGAACTAGAAGTTTAAAATAGACAATCAGAGAAATAGGCAGCTAACAAGAGCCCCCCTGGGGTCAGAAAAAAGCGCAAAGATGTGCCTCAAAGTCTACCTGCCATTAACTGTATGTTTGTGTAACCCCAAAATTTATATCCTGAAACCCTAATTCACAATGTGATGGAAATTGTACATATGGCGATTGGGAGTTTATTAGGTTCTGAAAGGGCAACTCTCCACCATGTGAGCATACAACACGAAGGTATCCATCCATCAACTAGAAGGTGAGTTTTCCACAGATCTGAGATCAACTGACACCTTGCTTTTGGGCTTCACAACTTCCATAACTGTGCGACATAAATGTTTGTTGTTTAAGACACCCAATGTATGGTGATTTGTTATAGCAGCCCAAACTAAGACCCTCCCATCAAAGAGATCTAGGTGTAGTTGGATCAAACTATGGAGCAATTTATGTTTCAAAAAACAATTGTCAAAAAACAATACGGCATATACACAGTAATATGTATGCTTACATAGGTAAACATCATATACACCTTTTATAGACATAACAACATTTTAAAAATTCAAAAATAAATTACAATATTTATTGAAATTGAAAGATATTATTTAAAAAATAAAACTTTAAAAAACTTAATTTGAATAAACAAACAAACAAAACCAGTAGATCTATTATCTGGCAATTGTTGGAGACTAAGAGCAGAGTGTAATACCTACAGACAGATCAGCTGAAAACAGGGAGATCAGGGAAAGAGACAGTCAGAGAGAACCCCATGAAAACCACTGCTATCCCATGTAGATAGTGACAATGTGTTAGACTAAAATGGCTAAATGGCTAAATCTGAGCTTGTTTGACCTAAAAAGGAAATATGTAAAAGGTTTGGGACAGCTTTTTTAAATTTTCAGTAATTTCATCAATTGTCTCTTTCATTGAATATAAGGGCAAAAGTACGTCAAAGAAGCATTTGTTTGGAAACACAAATTTTGGTTTAAAAATCTCACAATAAGCAAAGCTGTACATGATAGAATAAGCTATTATGAGGAGAATGTACAAGAAAAGACTGACTGGCAAGCTGCCACTGATACTGTAGAGACGATATTTATAAAATGAAAAATCTATTCTGTCTATATATTTTCAGTATAAACATCTAAGATTTTATTATTCAAGTACCTTTTTATAGTTAGATCTATTTTGACACACAAGAGGTTTGAATAATATAATACTAGAGTCTTATAAGAAGAATGCATTTATTTGCTCTTCCAAATCAATAGATAATTATTGAATGGAAAGCGCTGAGGAAAGTGATAAAATAGTTGGACACGTGCATACATTCATATACTTTGGAATATATAGTCAAATGTTAAGTCAATGTCACCAATATAAGCAAAAGTCTAAGACTAGAAGCATTTGGTTATCCTGTTTTATCTTGTGGTATTTTTTTCTAGATAATTTTATTTTTAATTATTTTTACAACTTAGCCTTCTCTGAATGATGTCTGGTTGTGAAAGTGTTATTTAGTTAAACCTCCATTCTGCCTGTCAAGGCCCAATGAATATATACTTACAGTAAAATGTTATTTATAAGAGAACCTATGTTCCAGTCTTTGCATTGTTTTGTTGCACTGACTTTTAGAGAAAATAAATAAAACACAGTTATGACATAAAAACGAAAGTATAACTAAAGACTACTTATCTTCCTATATCCTTAGGTAGATACATTCTACTGATCCTAATTGTGTCATAAAAAAATTCTTTGTGATGAGAGAAAAAGGTTTTTTTGAGAGCCTAGGCAATTTGAAATAAGTTGAAAATATATCTTGTCACGACAAGGCTTGTGCTTGATTGCAAATGCTTATTTGAATACACGTTCCAAAAGCCCCCCATCTCCTCTACCAGCATGGGAGTCAGCAAGAAGAATAAGGAAAATTATTTTAACCCAGTCCTCCCTAAGCCACTCACATAGAACAATACAATTAAACATTATTACTACTATCCATGCTATAGACATTATTACCATTACTAAACCATATTACTCGATTATCCAAGGTTCATAAATAAAAATGTGAACCACTTATTGGATGTGTTGGACAAAGGAGGTAATAGAGATGCCAATCACCCCACTCTTTAATCTCCAACCAATTGATCCAAGATAATGTAAGGCCATGGGCCTAATGGTCTCCTTCAGGAACAGTGCAGACAGTGAAAAGTGCTAGTGTGTAGGACTCTTTGAATACAGAGAAATTCAGAGAGACTTGTAGGGATTTGGTGGGTTTTGAGAGAAAGCAGGGTAATCTCTCAATAAGGTACATTAAAGGATTGCAAAACCTCAGGGGAAACACCTTACACTTGGCTAGGGTTATTTTACATTTTTAAATTGGGCAATAAGAAAAAAAATATTTTCTAGGAGATATAGATAGTAACGTGTTACTCTCACTTTTTTCTGTATGGATAAATAATATAACATGTTATTCTCACTTTTTTGTGTATGGATCAAATAATATAACATTATTACATCACCATGTTAATTATATTATATCGGTTTTGCCTGTGAGACAAATGTATCTGTTTATATGTATTATAGTTTAATTTTTTGTATGAAAGTCTTAATTTTGAGTTTGGCTTTCATGAAAATGAATGTGTTTTTAATATTTCTTATAAATTCTCATAAGGGGGATATTTCTTGATAGTTACTGTACCCAGTGTTAATGATACTATTTTATTTGAGACCGTTTTATTGTAAGAAGAAGATTCACTCTTTTCTTTTTTTGTTGTTACATTAATTATTTTTGGCAACTAAAAGAGGCAGTCATCTCACAAAGTCTAGGAAAGGGAGTATGTCTTCTAGATTGTGACCCCTCAAATGGACCCCTCAAGTGATTTTGGGTGTCCTTCCTGCTGCCCCACTTTGTGAGGGCATCTGGTTCCAGACCCAGTCCCTCCTAATCTGATTTCCATTTACCTGTTGAGCTTGGAACATCTGTTTTGGAATTGCCAGAATATCCTGAATTATTCACAAAAGTGTTCTTGAGGGGGAAGCATTAATAGAGCTCCCTGGAGAGCCATGACTTCTTTCTTCCAAAGGTCTCTCTTTAAAAAAAAAATAATTTAATTAATTTTAAGTACCGGGATACATGCTCAGGATGTGCAGATTTTGTTACATAGGTAAATGTGTGTCATGGTTGTTTGCTGCACCTATCACCCCATCACCTTGGTTTTAAGCCCAACATGCATTAGCTATTATCCTGATGCTCTCCCTCCCACTGCCCCTCTCACAGGCCCAGTGTGTGTTGTTCCTCTCCCTGCGTCCATGTGTTCTCATGGTTCAGCTCCCATGAATAGGTGAGAACATGTGGTGTTTGGTTTTCTATTCCTGTGTTAGTTTGCTGAGGATAATGGCTTCCAGCTCCATCCATGTCCCTGCAAAGGACATGATCTCATTCCTTTTTATGGCTGCATAGTATTTCATGGTGTGTATGTACAATATTGTCTTTATTCAGTCTATCATTAATGGGTATTTAGGTTGATTCCATGTCTTTGCTATTGTGAATAGTGCTGCAATGAATATACACCTGCATTTATCTTTATAATAGAATAATTTTTATTCCTTTGAGTATATACCCAGTAATTGGATTGCTGGGCCAATTGGTTTTTCTGATTTAGGTCTCTGAGAAATCTCCACACTATTTTCCACAATGGTCAAACTAATTTATATTCCAATCAACAGTGTAAAAGCATCCCTATTTCTCCACAGCCCTGCCAGCATCTATTGTTTCTTGACTTTTTTTTTTTAAGCTATCATCTTGACAGTTGCCCTTTAATTCATTTTTAGGCGTGACCTTGCACAACATGCAAGAAAACAGAACAAAGATGTAAATGGTGGTGTTCCCATGTATAAGATCTCTTTGGATACTTGTTTGCCCCTGTAAAGCCGCAGCCCGCAGCTAAAATATGTAAGATTCAGTTAAAGTAGTGTTCTCTTTACTTTCTCTTATTTTATAATTTTTTATGACAAAGCACCAAGAATAAAAATTTTGCAGGAAAACACACATTCCTTAAATAGAGAATATTTTTACAGAGTCTGATTTTTCTAGAATATAATTTACAACACTATGGTAAAATTCATTCCGTTCTCTGATATTGAAAAGGATAATTTCAATCAAAACAATTAATGTTCAAGATGACAAATGAAATAGTCTGTCATTCTCCAGCGCATTTTTTTCCCTACTTATTCCGTTCTTGGGAGACTTAGCATCAATCACTATATGATGATCTTCTCTTCTTGCCATCTGAACATTTTGCAGGAGTCAAATGCATGTTTTGCAACTTTGGTTTTAGACTTTGGGGTCCAGTTAGCCAGTCTAAATACTGTGTTTTCGTTTTCTGTTATGTTGGAATGCCACAATGGCCCATTACTTCTGGTATTCACATCTTCGTGTAGTACACTCTTCTTGAATATGAGGTGGGCCTGAAACTCGCTTTAATCGATAGAATGCAGTGGAAACATTGCTGCCGTATTTCAGACCTAAAACTTAAGAAGCCCTGGCAGCTTCTGCTTTTGCATTCCTGGGAGCCCCAGCTTCTATGTAAGAAGTGTGGCATCTCTGCTAGAGACACTGTGTGTTAAGGCCACGTGAAGAGAACCTATAGAGAAACAGAAACCCTTAGACTACTGGAAGACAGCCAATGAGCCCGACTAAAAGAGAAAATTTAAGTCCCAGACACGTGACCCAAGCTGAGCCATTTTGAGCTACATACATGTCTGAAGCATGTGAGTGAAAAAGCCATTTGGACATTGTAACATCAGCATATCACTCCCCTATGACATCATGAGAAATGATGAAAGAGTAGTTCTTTTAAGCCCTTACATTTTAGGATGATTTGTTACACAGCCACATGTAATCAGAATATTTCTATTCCCTTTACTGTCTTTGCATGTTAAAGAATAATATAGGATTTATTTTTCACAACTAATAATACATGGGGCCCTCTCCAATCCTGATATTCTGTTTTTCTCTAGCAGTTCTGGCCTCTACTCAGTCTTTCAAATTGAGACTTACTAAAAGACAGGTTAGTATAAATTCCAAGAAAATAACTCTTCCTCTGTTAGTGGCTTCAAGTCTTTTTTTCTTTAAAGAAGGGTTTTATATGATTATCTGGAAGCATTGGCTATTCTTTCTTGAAGCAAAGATACTTTTTCATATTTCTCTTATTTTTGACTTCCTGGTGAAGGAGAACAATATACAGATTCTAAAAGTTCCTAAGTGAGGCTGAGAGAAAGAGAAAAGAACTTGAACTTGGCAAAACATGCCCCAATCTAGAAAACAGAATTTCCTTGGCATCCTTTGATCTTCCTAGGTTTTAGGTAAGGACTCAGATGATACTTCATTTATTCATCTCATTTATTCATTCACTGAGGTTTCAACAAACTTGCAGAGAACTCTACGATGTGTCGAAATACTATTTAAATATCTGTTTCTTTTTTTAAAACCTTTTAGTAACTACTTAAATATAAAGTAATCAAGTTCAAGAACCATCTATTTCTCCAAGATCCCTTAAAGTGAACTGGATTTCTTTTAATCCATGAAAGTCATGACGTTACTTTTTATTATTATTATTGTTATACTTTAAGTTTTAGGGTACATGTGCACAATGTGCAGGTTAGTTACATATGTATATATGTGCCATGCTGGTGTGCTGCACCCACTAACTCGTCATCTAGCATTAGGTATATCTCCTCATGCTATCCCTCTCCCCTCCCCCCACCCCACAACAGGCCCCAGAGTGTGATGTTCCCCTTCCTGTGTCCATGTGTTCTCATTGTTCAATTCCCATCTATGAGTGAGAACATGCGGTGTTTGTTTCTTTGTCCTTGCGATAGTTTACTGAGAATGATGATTTCCAATTTCATCCATGTCCCTACAAAGGACATGAACTCATAATTTTTTATGGCTGCATAGTATTCCATGGCGTATATGTGCCACATTTTCTTAATCCAGGCTATCGTTGTTGGACATTTGGATTGGTTCCAAGTCTTTGCTATTGTGAATAGTGTCCCAATAAACATACGTGTGCATGTGTCTTTATAGCAGCATGATTTATAGTCCTTTGGGTATATACCCAGTAATGGGATGGCTGGGTCAAATTGTATTTCTAGTTCTAGATCCCTGAGGAATCGCCACACTGACTTCCACAATGGTTGAACTAGTTTACAGTCCCACCAACAGTGTAAAAGTGTTCCTATTTCTCCACATCCTCTCCAACACCTGTTGTTTCCTGACTTTTTAATGATTGCCATTCTAACTGGTGTGAGATGGTATCTCATTGTGGTTTTGATTTGCATTTCTCTGATGGCCAGTGAAGATGAGCATTTTTTCATGTGTTTTTTGGCTGCATAAATGTCTTCTTTTGAGAAGTTCCTGTTCATATCCTTTGCCCACTTTTTGATGGGGTTGTTTGTTTACTTCTTGTCAATTTGTTTGAGTTCATTTTAGATTCTGGATATTAGCCCTTTGTCAGATGAGTAGGTTGCGAAAATTTTCTCCCATTTTGTAGGTTGCTGTTCACTCTGATGGTAGTTCCTTTGGCTGTGCAGAAGATCTTTAGTTTAATTAGATCCCATTTGTCAATTTTGGCTTTTGTTGCCATTGCTTTTGTCATTTTAGACATGAAGTCCTTGCCCATGCCTATGTCCTGAATGGTAAAGCCTAGGTTTTCTTCTAGGGTTTTTATGGTTTGAGGTCTAATGTTTAAGTCTTTAATCCATCTTGAATTAATTTTTGTATAAGGTGTAAGGAAGGGATCCTGTTTCAGCTTTCTACATATGGCTAGCCAGTTTTCCCGGCACCATTTATTAAATAGGGAATCCTTTCCCTATTGCTTTTTTTTCTCAGGTTTGTCAAAGATCAGATAGTTTTACATATGCGGCATTATTTCTGAGGGCTCTGTTCTGTTCCATTGATTTATATCTCTGTTTTGGTACCAGTACCATGCTGTTTTGGTACCAGTACCATGCTGTTTTGGTTACTGTAGCCTTGTAGTATAGTTTGAAGTCAGGTAGCGTGATGCCTCCAGCTTTGTTCTTTTGGCTTAGGATTGACTTGGCGATGCAGGCTCTTTTTTGGTTCCATATGAACTTTAAAGTAGTTTTTTCCAATTCTGTGAAGAAAGTCATTGGTAGCTTGATGGGGATGGCATTGAATCTATAAATTACCTTGGGCAGTATGGCCATTTTCACGATATTGATTCTTCCTACCCATGAGCATGGAATGTTCTTCCATTTGTTTGTATCCTCTTTTATTTCATTGAGCAGTTGTTTGTAGTTCTCCTTGAAGAGGTCCTTCACATCCCTTGTAAGTTGGATTCCTAAGTATTTTATTCTCTTTGAAGCAATTGTGAATGGGAGTTCACTCATAATTTAGTTCTCTGTTTGTCTGTTATTGGTGTATAAGAATGCTTGTGATTTTTGTACATTGATTTTGTATCCTGAGACTTGGCTGAAGTTGTTTATCAGCTTAAGGAGATTTTGGGCTGAGACAATGGGGTTTTCTAGATATACAATCATGTCGTCTGCAAACAGGGACAATTTGACTTCCTCTTTTCCTAATTGAATACCCTTTATTTCCTTCTCCTGCCTAATTGCCCTGGCCAGAACTTCCAACACTATGTTGAATAGGAGTGGTGAGAGAGGGCATCCCTGTCTTGTGCCAGTTTTCAAAGGGAATGCTTCCAGTTTTTGCCCATTCAGTATGATATTGGCTGTGGGTTTGTCATAGATAGATCTTATTATTTTGAGCTACATCCCATCAATACCTAATTTATTGAGAGTTTTTAGCATGAAGCTTTGTCGAATTTTGTCCAAGGCCTTTTCTGCATCTATTGAGATAATCATGTGGTTTTTGTCTTTGGTTTCTTGACTTTTTAATAATCGTTATTCTGAGTAATATGAGATGATATCTTATTGTGGCTTTGATTTGCATTTCTCTAATGATCAGTGATGTTGAGCTTTATTGCATATGTTTGTTGGCTGCATAAATGTCTTCCTTTAAGCAGTGTCTGTTCATGTCCTTTGCCCACTTTTTAATGGGGTTGTTTGTCTTTTTCTTGTAAATTTGTTTAAGTTCCTTGTAGATTCTGGATATTAGACCCTTTTCAGATGATTGCAAAAATTATCTCCCATTCTGTAAGTTGTCCATTCACTCTGATAATAGTTTCTTTTGCTGTGCAGAAGCTCTTAGTTTAATTAGATCCCATCTGTCAATTTTTGCTTTTGTTGCAATTGCTTTTGACATTTTCATCATGAAATATTTGCTCGTGCTTATGTTCTCAATGGTGTTGCCTAGATAGTTTTAAGTTTTACATTTAAGTCTTTAATCCATCTTGAGTTAATTTTTGTATAAGGTGTAAGAAACGGGTTCAGTTTCAATTTTCTTCATATGGCTAGCCAGTTTTCGCAACACCCTTTATTAGATAGGGAATCCTTTCCCCATTTGTTTTTTGTCAGGTTTGTCAAAGATTAGATGTTGCAGATGTGCAGTCTTATTTCTGAGATCTCTATTCTGAGATCTCTATTCTGAGATCTCTCTCTGATTTCTGAGATCTCTATTCTGTTCCATTGGACTGTGTGTCTGTTTTTGTACCATGCTATTTTGGTTACTGTACCTTTGTAGTATAGTTTGAAATCAGGTAGTGTGATGCCTCCAGCTTTTTCTTTTGCCTTAGGATTGCCTGGGCTATAGGGGCTCTTTTTTTAGTTGCATATGAATTTTAAAGTAGTTTTTTTTCTAATTTTGTGAAGAATTTCAATGGTGGTTTAATGAAAATAGCATTTAATCTATAAAATACTTTGAGCAGTATGGTCACTTTCATCATATTGATTCTTCCTATACATGAACATGGAAGGTTTTTCCATTTGTTTGTGTCTTCTCTGATTTCCTTGAGCAGTGGTTTGTAGTTCTCCTTGAAGAGGTCCTTCACTTCCCTGGTTAGGTATTCCTAGGCATTTTATTCTCTTTTTAGCAATTGTGAATGGGCGTTCATTCATGAATTGGCTCTCTGCTTGTCTAATGTTGGTGTCTAGGAATGCTTGTGATTTTTACACATTGATTTTGTATCCTAAGGCTTTGCTGAAAATTTATCATCTTAAGAAGCTTTTGGGCTAAGTCAATGCAGTTTTCTAGATATAGACTACTGTCATCTGCAAATAGAGACAGTTTGACTTTTTGTTTTCCTATTTGAATATGCTTTATTTATTTCTTTTGCCTGATTGCCCTGGCCAGAACTTCCAATACTAGGTTGAATAGGAGTGGTGAGAGAGGGCATCCTTGTCTCATGCCAGTTTTCAAGGGGAATACTTTCTTTTTTTGCCCATTCAGTATGATATTGGCCGTGGGTTTGTCATAAATGGCTTTTATTATTTTGAGATATGTTCCATCAGTATCTCATTTATTGACAGTATTTAACATGAAGGAATGTTGAATTTTATTGAAGGCCTTTTCTGCATCTATTGAGATAATCATGTGGTTTTTGTCTTTAGATCTGTTTATGTGATTAATTATGTTTATTGATTTGTGTATGTTGAACCAGCCTTGCATCCTGGGAATGAGGCTTACTTGGTCATGGTGAATAAGCCTTTTAATGTGCTGTTGGATTTAGTTTCCAGTATTTTATTGAGGATTTTTGCATCCATGTTCATCAGGAATATTGGCCTGAAGTTTTCATTTTTGTTGTATCTCTGCCTGGTTTTGGAGTCAGGATAATGCTGGCCTCATAAAATGAGTTAGGAAAAAGCAACTCCTTCTCAATTGTTTGAGATAGTTTCAGAACAAATGGTGCAAGCTCCTCTTTGTACCTCTGGTATAATTCAGCTGTAAATCTGTCTAGTCCTGCGTTTTTTTTTTTTTTTTTTTTTTTTTGGTTGGTAGGCTATTTATTACTGTCTCAATTTCAGGACTTGTTATTGGTCTATTCAGGGATTCAACTTCTTCCTGGTTCAGTCTTGGGAGGGTGTATGTTTTCAGGAATACATCCATTTCTTCTAGATTTTCTAGTTTATTTGAATGAGGTGTTTATAGTATTTTCTTATGGTTGTTTGTATTTCTGTGGGATCAGTGGTTGTACCCCCTTTATCATTTTTTTATTGTGTCTATTTGATTCTTCTTTCTTTTTTCTTTATTAGTCTATTTAGGGGTCTATCTATTTTATTTTATTTTTCAAAAAAATGATTCCTGGATTCACTGGTTTTTTGAAGGGTTTGTCCTATCTTATCTTCTTCATTTCTGCTCTGATCTTGATTATTTCTTGTTTTCTGACAGCTTTGGGGTTTGTTTGCTCTTGATTCTCTAGTTCTTTTAGTTGTGAGGTCAGGGTGTCCATTTGAGATCTTCCTAACTTTTTACTGCGGGTATTTAGTGCCATAAATTTCCGTCTTAACACTGCTTTAGCTGCATCCCAGAAATTCTGGTACATTGTCTTTTTGTTATCGTTAGTTATAAAGAATGTCTTGATTTCTGCCTTAATTTCACTATTTACCCAGGAGTCATTCAGGAGCAGGTTGTTCAATTTTCATGTAGTTACGTGGTTTGAGTGAGTATTTGATTGTGCTGTGGTCTGAGAGAATTTTTGTTATGACTTCAGTTCTTTTGCATTTTCTAAGGAGTGATTTACTTCCAACTACGTGATCAATTTTAGTGTAAGTGCCATGTGGCACCAAGAAGAATGTATATTCTGTTGTTTGTGGGTGAAGAGTTATTTAGATATCTATCAGATCCACTTGATGGAGAGCTGAGTTCAAGTACTGAATGTCTTAGTTAATTTTCTGTCTCAATGATCTGTCTAATATTGAGGTGAGGTGTTAAAGTCTCCCACTATTATTGTGTGGGAGTCTAAGACTCTTTGTTCACCTCTACTAGTTTTATGAATGGGAGTGCTCCTGTATTGGGTGTATATATATTTAGGATAGTCAGCTCTTCTTATTGAATTGACCCTTTAACCATTATGAAATGACCTTCTTTTTCTTTTTTTGATCTTTGTTTGTTTAAAAATCTGTTTTCTCAGAAACTATGATTGCAACCCTGCTTCTTTCTGCTTTCCATTGGCTTGGCAAATTTTACTCCATCCCTTTATTTTGAGCCTATATGTGTCTTTGCACATGAGATGGGTCTCATGAATAGAGCACACCAATGGATTTTGACTCTTTTTTCAATTTGCCATTCTGTGTCATTTAATTGGAGCATTTAGCCATTTATATTTAAGGTTAATATTGTTATGTGTGAATCATGAGGCTATCTGGTTATTTTGCAGACTTACTGATGTAGTTGCTTCATAGTGTCACTGATCTTTGTACTTAAGCATGTTTTTGCAGTGGCTGGTAATGGTTTTTCCTTTCCATATTTAGTGCTTCCTTCAGAAGCTCTTGCAAGGCAGCCTGGTGGTGTTGAATTCGCTCAGAATTTCCTTGTCTAAAAAGGATCTTATTTCTCCTTCACTTATGAAGCTTAGTTTGGTCAGATATGAAATTCTGGGTTGGAATTTTTTTTTTTTTAAAGAATGTTGAATATTGGACTCCATGCTCTTCTGGTTTGTAGGTTTTCTGCTGAGAGGTCTGCTGTGGGCTTCCCTTTGCAGGTGAGCTGGTTTTTCTTTCTGGTTGCCCTTAACATTTCTTCCTTCATTCTGATTTTGGAGAATCTGATGATTACGTGTCTTGAGGTTTATCTTCTCATGGAGTATCTTACTGGAGTTCTCTGAATTTCCTGAATTTGAATGTTGAACTGTCTTTTTAGGTTGAGGAAGTTCTCCTGTATGATACTCTGAAGTATGTTTTCCAACTTACTTCCCTTCTCCCTATCTCTTTCAGATACCCTAATCAGTCATAGGTTCAGTCTTTTTACATAGTTCTCAGAGTTTGTGTTCATTCGTTTTTATTCTTTTGTCTCTAACCTTGTCTGCCTATCTTATTTCAGCAAGATAGTCTTCAAGTTCTGATATAATTTATTCTTCTTAGTCTATTTAGTTACTTATACTTGTGGTTGCACTGTGAAGTTCTTGTGCTGTGTTTTTCAGCTCCATCAGGTCATTTATTTTCCTCTCTAAACTGGTTATTCTGGTTAACAGCTCCTGTAATATTTTATCATGGTTCTTAGCTTCTTTGCATTGGATTAGAAAATGCTCCCTTAGCTGAGTAAAGTTCATTATTACCCACCTTCTGAAGCCTACTTCTGTCAATTCATCCATCTCAGCCTCTTCCCAGTTCTATGCCCTTGCTGGAGAGGTACTGCAATCATTTGGAGGAAAAGAGGCACACTGAATTTTTGAGTTTTCAGTGTTTCTTCAGTAATGCGTCCTCATTTTCATGAGTTTATCTTGCTTCAATCTTTGAGGCTGATGACCTTTAGATGGGGTTTTTGTTTGGACTTTTTTTGCTGATGCTGTTGTTGCTTTCTGTTTGTTTGTTTTTTCTTTTAACTGTCAGGCCCCTCTTTCATAGGGCTGCTGTGGCTTGCTGGGGATCTACTCCAGATTCTGTTCGCCTGGGTCCTTCCTGCACCTGGAGGTGTCACCAGTGGAGGCTTCAGAACAGCAAAGATGGCTGCTCCTTTCTCTGGGATCTCTGTTCCAGTAAATAACCGACCTGGTATCGGTGGAATGTTCCTTATGACATGTCTGGCAACCACTGTTGAGGGGTCTTATCCAGTCAGGAAGCATGAGGCCCGTAAACAGCACTCTGGCTGCCCCTTGGAGGAGGGGATGCGCTGTGTCGGGGGAAATCTACCTGTCCAGATCGTCCAGATTCCTCAGAGCCAGCAGGGCAAAAGATTAAGTCTGCTGATCAGTGGAGATTACAGCTGCCCCTCCCCGCAGGGGCTCAGTCCCAGGGAGATCAGAGTTATGTCCGTAAACCCCTGGCTGAAGTTGCTGAAATTCCTGCCGGGAGGCCCCACCTAGTGAAGACAGATGGGTCAGAATCTGGCCTAGAGAAGCAGTCTGGCCAGGATCTGCCACAGCCGCTGTGCTGTGCTGTGCTGTACTGTGCTGTGGGGAATTCCTCCTGGGTTCAAATTGTCCAGTCTCCCCTGGCAGCAGCAGGGGAAAAAAAGGCAGACTGGACCTGCAGTGATGGCTGCGCCCGCTCCATCCAGGAACTCAGTTGTCTTTTGGAGCAGGCAGCCGCCCCTCCTCAGGGGAGCTTAGTTGTCTTAGGCAGTCTCCAGCCGAGTGGCCACTAAGAATCTGCACAGCTCTGTGCATGGGACTCAAGGCCCTGGTGGCATGGGCTCATGAGGAGGATCTTCTGATCCATGGGTTGCACACATCGGTGGAAAAAGCGTGGTTTCCTGGGCAGGGTAGCACGATCACTCACCGCCTCCCTTGGCCGGGGGTGAAAGCTTCCCTTGCTCATTGTGGCTCCCAGGTGAGCTGTCGCACCACCCTGCTTCTCCTTGCTCTCTGTGGGTCATGCCAACTGCCTAGTCAGTCCCACTGAGAGAACCTGTATACCTCACTTGGCGGTGCAGAATTCACATACCATTTTCCTTCTCAGTGGGAGCCTCCAACCGCAGCTGTTTCTAGTTGGCCATCTTGGCCTGCAATAAGAAGATTCACTCTTTTCTTTATAATATTAAGTGGAAAATTGGGAAGATTTTGGAGAAACTTGACTAGCAGAAACTTTGCCAGTAGTCCAGGATCCATTTGTTGAAATAATATAAGGTGCATGAGATCTCATTAAGACTTACTTGATAATTATCATTACAAATTTCATTGTTAACTTAATGCTGATGAGGGAGAATAAATAATTAAATTTACAATTTAAGATCAGTATTATTGAGGAAAACATAGCTCAATTTCTAGAGTGTTCACATCACTGGTGGGACCATTTCTTTGACCAAATTGGAAGTAAGGGCTTAGTTTTCTTGGATTCACAACTGTTAATTCGCCAATGGGAATAAAAATTAGAAAGATTAAAAACTATTTTTGTGTTTATGTTAACAATGATAAATTCAGTTTTGCTACAGCTTTGTTTCCTAGACTTGAGTTTCAGAAATGAACTATATTTTCTTCCTATCTGAGGGGTTTAAGAAATATCCTCCAGTGTAGAGTTTTTTATGTTGTCGATGGATTATATTGGATAACTATTGGAGACCAAATTTTTAGAGAGCATTCAGTAAAAACAAAACAGAATAAAATAAATAAACCGCTAAAGGAGATTGCATTAGTTCATTGTAACTTTTAAATAAACAGCATGTATTTAAATGTAAAATCTTAAATAAATACTTAAACTAAAATAAAGATTTCCATAAAAATGAAATTCAGTTTCTGTGTGAGTTACAACGGCTATTTCTATTATGTCAGTCTTTTTTTTTTCATGGAGGACTTTCTATGTGTTAGTCACTTTACCATATGCCTATATACTGGAAGTAGAATGATGAATATAAATATGGTCAATGTTCTTAAGAAATGCAATCTTATTGGAAGACATAAATGATGCATCAATTAAAATATAGTGAGTTAAGTTAAAATAGGTTATTAGGGGCTCTGTTTATGAAGAGATAGGGAGAATTCTTTTAGCTGTGGGTTTCACCCCACTTTACAATGTGTTTTGAACAAAGCCTGCTGCCTTTCCACACTGGGAGAGCTCCAAGTTCGGTGAAACAGAGATGAACACCTTTCATCAGTTTTTCAAGTATCTCCTGATGGGTTAGAAAAGACCCAGACAATTCTTTGTGAATTAGGTATGCTCTGCTCCCTTTGGGATCAAGGATCATGGTCTCACACTTGGAATGCAGGCTATTGTCTTCAGGAGTCCCGCACAGTTGAGAGAGTTTGGAGAAAGAGAAAGTTAAGATGTCACAATGCTTTTTTACTATTTTTAAGTTGACTTTTTCTTGGTTCAAATTGTGCTTGGTTTCTGTAAATCTTTGACTCTTTCCAGAGTTAGGGCAAAGTTGGTTTTGACAGTTCCTGCTTCTTGTTCCATGTTTCTGTGGACTTATGGGTGATTGGAGCTACCTGTTCCACTCCTTTGCTGATGTTTCTGTCTCCAAATCTTTTCATTTACACTCTTGCTACTTGTATATGTGCATGTTTGTGTAGGGGTGTATGTGTAAACACACACATATACAAATATATATGCAAGTATACACACAGATATACATTTACATTTACTACCATCAGTTCATATTTAATTTTAGTAAAAATTTAATTTTTCTACTTTGTTAAATGTACTTACCAATATAACTTCTAACTTTGTTTTCTGCATCATAGCATATCACCTTGCTAAGCTAAATTGCAGACACACTATTTTAGAAATTAATAATGAAAAATATTGATAACTACTTTGTTCAAGAAATAACTGCCGTGGAATTTGCTCCTTTTATTTTGTGACACTTCAGTTATGAAGATCTCGAGATATCTAAAATATTTCAATTAAAATGAATAAGAAAATTTATTTTACCAATAAACTGTGGTATGATGCCAGATTATGCTTATAACTATATTTATTTTAAGAAACTTCTTTAGATTGTGCTAGAATGTGTGGAAAAGGAGTAACAGGATTATTATGAGCCATTACCTGAAGGTTCAGAAATACAAAAACTCAACCCATTTGTAGGTTTAAATTTCTGGGAGGAAAATTTTGGATCTGAAATATATTGAGAGAGTTTCATAATTATGCCGATGGGAAGTGTGAATATGTAAGAATTCTCATAAAAGGAAGAAAGAACTAAAAAGCATGAGTCCATTTCATGTGTAGATAGTGAACTTTAACACCCAAGTGTATCCTAATATGAGATAATAAAATTAATCTAATTTTTACTGCATATTTATTTTCATGAAACGTTCATAACATGTGGAATTAAAAATTCTCAAATAAAATGCTAACTTTTATTTAAGATTCTTTAGATTTTTCTGTCATCAATAGCAATGTTCATTGCCAGTTGTGGGCTTTTTAGTGTGATACACAATGCCATTGTGCAAAGAAGAAATTCATTTTATGACTTTTTAAAGAATTGATGATTTAAAATGCAATACATTACAGTTAAGAATTCCAAAGTGTAGTTCTTTTTAAAGATTCCCTTTTTAGTTTACAAGTCTGATTTTGCTCTGTAAAAATATATAGAAAATTTAATAGTCAGCTTTCTGTGGCCTTTATAATTTAACAAAATTTATTCAATAATTGATTTATTCTTATAAATATATTTGACCTCCTTTTCTTAAGAACTCAGATATTTACCTAACAATATCTTAAGTTCTCCTCCATATTCCAGTAATGCATGTGATCATACACAAGTTAAAATTTTGAATCAATTACTCAATAATGTATTTTTAATTTGATTATAAGGTAATTACTCTAATATGCCAACATTTTTAAATTTTAGTATAAACTAAACATGCACAGATTATTTTTATCTCAAAATATAAAAATTTTGGTTTGATTTACTTTAATGTTTGTACAATTAATTCAAAATATTTCTAACTTAAAAAATACCTGCCAGTAAAGCAGTTACCTTCTCATTGAGGGAGTATATGTTGTGTCAGGTGATAAAGAGTTGTAGATATCTAAATTTTTTAAGGTTTCAACAGTCAGAGACAGCCCACTTTTAGGACCACTTTGTCATAGACTAACAAACATAAAACTAACCATGTTTGTCTTTTTTTTTCTTTTTAAATTTTTATTACTAGTGGCAACGCTGTTGGGTCAGCTATGACTTTCATGGTCGGTTTTTCTTTACTAAATAAATGTTATCATGTATAGCTAAGGTGCACAACACACTGTCATGGAATACAGATAGTAAAAAGGTTGTAATAACAAAACAGATCAGCATATTCATCATCTCACATAGTTACCCATTTTTGTTTTTGTGGCAAGAGCAGCTAAAATCTACTCATTTAACATGAATTTCATATAGAGTACAATTTTATTGCCTATAGTCCTCGTATTACACATTAGGTTTCTGTACTCGTTCGTCCTTCAGAGATGTTGATCTTTATTTTAAAAATGTATTTTACACTTATCTAATAAAGTATCTAACTTGCTATTAGATTTTGTTTTGGTGTGTGAAGATGTTTTAAGGTTTCCAATGTATATTTAATAATATGATAAGGCCATTCCATGTAATCCTTTACAGACTTATGTATATTTTGTAACCTCTTCTAATTTGAACTTATTTGGCATTTTCTTATTATCTGTTAATCTACAACATTTTATCCAGATAACATTTGACTGAATTCGGCAAATCACATGGCTATATATAAATTTGCAGTCACAGCTTCCCAAGTCACCCAGTAATATCTATCTATGGTTAATACAATGAGTTTATAGAAAGCCCTCTGTTTCTGAAACATTAGCCTGAGTGTTTAGTACAATATCTGGCTTAGGACCAATCACACCTGTCAAAACTCTGCAGTTG
This sequence comes from Homo sapiens, assembly GCF_000001405.40. Classification (NCBI taxonomy): domain Eukaryota; kingdom Metazoa; phylum Chordata; class Mammalia; order Primates; family Hominidae; genus Homo; species Homo sapiens. The sequence continues at coordinate 67,270,755 of NC_000006.12, forward strand.
AAGTAACTAAAATATTTTATTACCAAGTCTTTTTTGAATTGTTATATTGTTTCTTTTATACTTTTATTTTTGCTTTTTCTTGGAAGAATATTCCATACTATTTTTAAAGACATAATTCCCTACAAAGATGAAATCATAATTCTCATACAAATATAAAATGAACAAATGCCAAAAATTTTATTTAACTAATAACATTGCCAAAATTAATTATAGGAGAACTTCACAGATCAGACACTTACAGTTTAGGAATATTAAAGTGAACTTGCAATTGGACACAAATCGGACTTTTCCATGGTTGTGCTGTTCTTTCACTAGACAGAACCATTTACATATCCATATGCAATAATTATTCTCCATTTTGCATTCTTGTGAACAATGAATTGTTCTACCAATTTACAGAGCTTTGAAACAATTTAAAGACAATTAAAGGCAAGAATCAACTAACCAAAAAGAGTTTTCCTGGACATTTAGATAGATAGATAGATGGTAGATAGATACATAGATAATAAATGGTTATTTAAATAGTAAAAAATTATTAATAGTTTATGTACATTTTATAATATTAAAGTAAAAAGAATTTTTAAAATAAGACCAACAAAGGACTTTTATTGCCAGAGATGTTATATTACTGCTAGGCAGCAGTAGCTAAAGCAGTGTAGTAGTGCCACCAAAAACAACAAAAAATCAATGAAACCAAATAGAAGGCCTAGAAACAGAACTGAGCATTAAGTGTATATTCAGCATATAAAATAGGTAGCATTCCTCATTTTTTAAAACAAGATACACAAATGTCCAAAAAGCATTAAAAAAATGCTGAACATCACTAATCATAAGAGAAATGTAAATTAAAAGCACAATGAGATATCATCTTACACTAGTTAGAATGACTATGAAGAGGAAAAAAAAATAAAACAGGTATTGGTGAAAATGTAGAGAAAGGGGAATGCTGCTATACTGTTGTTGAGAATATAAACTAGTACAACCTTTATGGAAAACAGTGTGGAAAGTTTTCACATAGCTAAACGTAGGGCTACCATTTGATCCAGCAATCGCATTATTGGTATCTGCCCAAAGGAAAATAAATCATTTTACTAAAAAGATACTTGCACTTGTATGTTTATCACAGCCCTATTCACAGTAACAAAGTCATGGAATCAACGTCTCATGTAACCAATAAATATATATACACCTACTATGTACCCACAGACATTAACAACTTTTAAATAAATAAATAAGATACCTTAAAAGACAAAAAAAAATCACCAGATCAACCTAAGTATCTACCAATGGATCAATGGCTGATTGGATAAAGAAACACACACACACACACACACACACACACATTTATATGTGCTATGGAATGCTACTCACCCTAAAAAAAAGAAAATAAATCGTGTGTTTTGCAGCAATAAGGACGGACAAGACTCTATAATCGTAAGTGAAATGAATCAGATGTGGGAGCTAATTAAGCATACACTTGGACAAAGAGTGGAGTAATAGACATTGGCGACTCGGTAGGGTGAGAGAATGGGAAGGGTGCGTGTGTTGAGAAATTACTTAAAGGGTACAATGAATACTATTCTGCTGATGGCTATACTAAAAGCTCAGCCACCACCCCTATGCAATATATCCATGTAACAAAACTGCACTCGTACCCTCTAAATCTATAATAAAACATAAGTAAATTAAAATTAAAAAAATAAGTGTCATTTCATGTCAGTAGCAGTAGAAAAAATTGGTAAATGATAGTAAAATAATTTATTACCTATCTGAAAAACATTATAGTCATATCTCACAACAATATTAAAATGAAATCCAGAATAAATTCTTATAAATAAGCTAAAGCTAAAATATAGAGTACTATTGATATCATGTGAGATGTGGCAATTCTTTTAAGCCTAAAAAAGTGGCAAAATGCCTTTGGGAGGCCAAAGTGGGCGGATCATGAGGTCAGAAGATTGAGACCATCCTGGCTAACATGGTGAAACCCCATCTCTACTACAAATACGAAAAAATTTAGCCAGGCGTGGTGGCAGGTGCCTGTAGTCCCAGCTACTCGTGAGGCTGAGGCAGGAGAATGGCATAACCCTGGAGGCACAGCTTGTAGTGAGCCGAGATTGTGCCACTGCACTCCAGCCTGAGCGACAGAGCAAGGCTTTGTCTAAAATAAAAAAAAAAGTGGAAAAATGCATGTAATTGCCTTAAATATCTAGCTACCTTTTGCCTAAATAATATATACATGTTAAAAACAAATTTCATTTGAATTGCATTCCAAATATCCCTCTCAAGTAAATGATGCACATCTTTTAATAAAATTAACAACAAAAGCATATTATTTAATGTTAAAAGTAGACATTGCTGGGTATAAGAAAGTTTAAGAAGATACAGAAAAACAATACAAATTAAAGTAAAAATAATTTGCAAACATGAAAAAGAGATACATAATGTTGTAAATGATCTATAATTCTTCCTTTTGTAAACTTGGAAACATAAGGAAGAGAGTGCTAGACAAAGCCTCAGTTTGGAGAATTTCTCAGATAATATACTTATCTAGTTATTTCTTATGGAAAAGGTAAAATATGAGTAATATGGAATATATTTAAGATTACATATTGAGTATTGTAAGATATAGTGAATAAGAAATAAAACTGTGTAGAAACCATGGAAACTTGGCCATACAAATATATCTTTAAAAAAATATTTCTGCCATTTCTAAACTTTGTCTCTCTTAACAAGATAAATCAGTTAAACCCATAATCTTTGAAGTGCTACTTAAAGGGTGTTTTCAAAGCAAATAAGCCAATTAGATGTAAATCCCCACTAACTAGTACAAAACTTTGAGGAAGATGATGTGAAGATTTTTAAATTACCTTGGGATAGAGAAATAAATATTTTCATCTTTTTATGATATAATTGACAAAAAAGTATATATTTAATATATAAAATGTGATGCTTTCATGTACATATACATTATGAAATGACTGTACCAAACAAACTAATTAATATATGTATTTACAATACCCCACATAGTTACCTTTTTGTGATGAGAATGCCAAAGATTTCCTTTACGTTACTAGGCACTGGTTTTATTACGGTTTTTAAAAATTATTTAATAAACATTAAAAGAAATCTAAACTAAATAGAAAACTTTGAGGAGATAGATAGACTTGTGGAGAGTTGCATCCTGTTCTGGCAGTGGACGAGAACATGATATTATATCTTAGCTTTATTCAGTGGGGAGATCTGTGGGACACACACCTTACTCGGTAAGATGAGGTTTTGTGAAAAATTAAATCCTTTGTACCAATAAGAAATGAACCAAAAATGCCACTGAATGGTGAATCAACAGCAGATAATGTCTGAACCAAGAAAGAAGATTCAACAATAATAGTTATAAACAATTATGGTCCAAATATCTCATCAAAATATATGATATGTCATAGATTAAGTAGGAGAAAACAAAGCTTTGTGTCTCCAAGGTAATGATTCTTAATGAATTTGATATTAGACTCAAAATAAATTTTAACTAAACTTATCTGAGGTATCAGCTTTTAATTTATCATTTTCCTATTCAATGAGAAATTCTACTGCCATTTATTGCTCTAATTATATAATAAAAATGGATAGCTCTCTGATTTCAACCTGCATGTCTTACTGTATGCAAAACATTCAGTTCCTCAGTAGAAGAGAACTCGAGATAAAGGAAAGACCTAACCAGCAGGAGCTATACAATTTATTTAGAAAGATAAATTAGAAAGATGCAATAGCACTGCAGAGTACAAATTGTATGTTTCTATGAAATACATACAAGTGGGATAGAGATTTAAATTTCTAAAAATGTAAAACCTTTGACAAATTTGAATATTTTATCGTGCTAATCTGTCAGTAATGATCACAAATTATTGCAACTAACTCTTGGCAAAAATATTACAAGACTTGTTATATTGGCATTTAAAATTTCAGGAGAAGCCTGTATCAATTTACTACAATTATTTTGTACTGACAGTTCTAATGGTTAGCAGTTAATCTGAAACTTATGACATATTTGATTAAACTAAAATTGCCTATGAATAGCCATTTCAAATTGTGATAACTCATTAAATCCTGTGTCTATGCAGAAAAAGAATATATGTCTAATAGAGGGTATATAATGGATAAAAAGAACTTTCTTTTAAAAGAAGTAAGTGCATTTTAATTAGAATGAATATAAGTGTAATAGGTCAAATATATTCTATCATTTTTGTTGCATAGAAACTGTTGAGTCCTAAAAAAGGAAGATTCAGTTAATTAAGTAAATTAAGGCAAAGCCTTAACAGATACAGAAAATGTTAGCAAGGACGAAGAAAAATATAATTGGACTGACCTGTTTTATCAGTAAAATGAGACTTTTGTAATAGAATGTCTACAAGTAACCGATACTTTATTTTTTCTAAAGATTCAGCACTCAGATCAAGGGATTAAAAAAATCCCTGTATTTAATTTAATGAGGTGTGCCAGAGTTACAAGTAATTACTTTTCTTCCCATTATTCTTCATACAATGTAGGGTCTTCTGTCTATTGAAAAATGAGGACAACGTTAAATATAAAACTACAAATTCCCACTTGGTTTTAAAAATTATGGATAAATGTCATCTAATGTCCATCATTGTGTTCATTAATTTGTCAATAATTCAACAAATTAAAAGTCCAGTTTGATAACTATTCAAGTACTATATATCTTTTCTCTTAACCCATGTCCATTTTTAATTTTTTCTTAATTGTGTTTTGTCACAAAACATTAATATACATGTTCATTGTAAAATATTAACAAATGTAGATTAGTGAAAATAAAAATTGTAGTTTTAACATAAAATAAAGGTGTATAGTTCAAATATCCAAACATAAACACAATCTATATGTATGTATATATATATATTATGTATTTTGTCTATAATCTTCACTCTAATCTGTGTCTGCATATGACTGTAAATATAAAGTTAAATATGTTTTTAGATAAAATATCAATGAGTAGATGCATATTATAAAAATTCCTTCATAAACTATTATGTTTTGTAAAATCATTTAAGGTCCATTTTCATTCAATGATCATTGTCAATGAGATTTCAGGAATCATCTAGAAATGTGTTCATATCTTGGCTCAACCCCTTATCAGCTCTATTTCATGGGACAAGTCTATTTACTTGTGAAATGGGAATAAAAATAGTAATTACTCTTAGGGATGTCGTAAGAGTCAAATGAGATAATATATACAAGTATTTAAAACCACATCTATCATGTTCAGTAATATTTACCTTCCTCTGCCTCCTTGAACTCCTTTATTTCTTCTTCAAAAAGTGTAAACATTCCCAATTTAATCATAGATCTTTCATCAACTTAATTCTAACTTGATATTAGTTATTGCCTATGTGCCGCATATTAAAATATTTGGAAGACTTTTAGTGTAGATTGTGGAAATAAATTAATAGCACAGTAAGCTCTCATTTCTTAAGACTGGGGAAATCTAAATTTTCTAGAACATTATTCTAGCCTGATGTTATGTATTCAGGGTATTTTTTTCTCACTTTTATGATTGCTGATATATAGAGACTTTTAGCTTTTGAATTTAATTTGCTGATTTGTAGTTCATAGAAAACTTTCCATTTCAATGATATTTTCAATAGTTAGCATAGTATTATCATTGTCCTTTCTCATAAATTTAATTTTTATATATAAAACAAGAATATTTTTATTAGTCATATTGTTGCTTATTTGTAGAATAACACTGTAATTGGGTCGGACTCCATTTGTTGATGTTTGCCTGCTCATGGTTTTTAAGCCTTACCTCTAGCCCTTCCTTTACTGACCCAAATCTGAGCAGGTAATAAGAAAGATCTGGTGTTCCTTCCTTTGGTCGCCAGGGGACTCAAACCATGCCAGGCTCTTCCTGCTCATGAGAACCCTTACTCTGGCCTCACATCATCATCGCCATTAAAATTTCAAGCCATATATCACTTCTTGCTATTTCTCGAGCCATTATTAGATCATCTTGGGAGCCGTGCAGTGCTTTTCCCAGAATGCCTTATTATGAAAATAATATAACTTTTCAGGCCTCTTGGTGTGTGCGTTTTCATCAATCTTGATATACAAACCAAATATGAGTGTGTGTGGGTCCACCCTATTTCTTCTGGATGGTTACAACCAATACTAATAGGATGGTGTCCTTATGAATGACTTCTTAATTGCTCACAAATATCTTAGAAAAGAACTAATAGGCCGGGCGCCGTGACTCCTGCCTATAATCTCAACACTTTGAGAGGCCGAGGTGGGCAGATCACCAGATGTCAGGTGTTCCAGACCAGCCTAGCCAACATGGTGAAATCCTGTCTCTACTAAAAGTATAAAAATTAGCCGGGCGTGGTGGCACGCACCTGTAATCTCAGCTACTCAGGAGGCTGAGGCAGGAGAATTGCTTGAAACTGGGAGGTGCAGAGGTTGCAGTGAGCCAAGATCACACCACTGTACTCCAGCCTGGGCGACAAGAACAAGACTTGGTCAAAATAATAATAATAATAATAATAATAATAATAATAATAATAATAATAATAATTTTACTGAAAATTCTAGACATTAAGTCCACTTTACAAAATCTAGGCATCAATACTGATTCAACTTGGCATTTTGTGGGTTAAACAGGAGATTCACATATGTGCTATTACACAACTAATTCCCTATTACTTTTTTTCTCGTTCTAATTTTTTACTATGGCATCTGCTGAGTCTGCATAATTTCATTTATTATCTTTTTGGGGCACAAAAATTACCGGCTTTTCATATGTTGATTAATTTACAAAGGTCACTTCTTTCTAGGTCCTCATTTCTAGGTCATATAAAGGCAAAAGAGCACCTGAACAAAAAGATGGGTTAACTAAAATTTAAGTCTTTCCATAGATAGGATTGTGTGTCTAAAAGAAACAACATAATTGCATTCTATTTATGCTATTTATGTACATAATATCACTTTCAAGACTATTATTTTTCTTTCCTACAGGTGGCCAATAGAAAAAAAATGGACTTTACTTGGGACACCAAACTTTCTTCTCAAATACAGTTGAGTTCTCTCTTAAAATACTTCTTCATCATTCAGTCTGAATTTATTTTTACACTGGGAATAAGGAACATATGCTGCACAGGGCACTGTATCTCACCTAACTTTATGGAAAGCTGGGGTTTGATATGGTATGGCACAAACACAAAAACAGTATTTACAGGGCCTGGGAGAGCAAGTACTGTGAACCTGGATGCTGTATTAGTCTATTCTTACATTGATATAAAGAAATACCTGAGACTGGGTAATTTACAAAGAAAAGAAGTTTTATTGGCTCACAGTTCCACCAGAAGTATGGCAGCATCAGCTCAGCTTCTGGAGAGTCCTCAGGAATCCTAGTTATGGCGGAAAGTGAATGGGAAGCCAGAACCTCACATGGCCGGAGCACCTGCCATGATGACCGGCTAATTTTTGTGGTTTTTTTAGTAGAGATGGATTTTTGCCATGTTGGCCAAACTGGTCTCAAACTCCTGACCTCAGGTGATTTGCCTGCACTGGCCTCCCAAAGTACTGGGATTATAGGGGTGAGCCACTGTGCCCGGCCAGTGATGCATTTTTGAACTTCTTTTTATGACCATAATGCCTTATCGACTGCTTCTTTCTCTTTCTCTTACATGTACCAGACCTGGTGACATATTTGAGTTGCCCAGATCCACCATGTGGAAATCACTACCCAGTAATTTAACATACATAGGGGAATACAAAATCAAAAATCCAGATAGCAATAACCAAGTCCCATGGCATTATTGGAAACTCTTCATTCAGCTGTGCTTAAATCTGTCTACCACTGAAAATAACAACTAGAAATGCTGAAAAATTGCCTCAGCATGTGAGTACATTGTTTTTTCAACAGGATCAAACTTTCAAATTCACTTATTTTAAAGAGTGTTTCTTTCACATATACTAGAAATATTTCTTATCTCTAAATCAGAAATGCATAAAGAACATGTGTTGACTTAATTAATTGCATTTTGTGCCTTAAACAAGAATAATCTATGAGATTACAAAGTGATGATAAAAACATTTGAAAGCCTGTTAATTTGAACACAATGATGTACTAATCTTCATTTGTTTCCCATGCTACTTCACTAATAAATAAAGAATATGACCCCAATTACATTGTTGTCATTCGTTCATATGCATTACTTCTCAAATATGTTTAATAAACCATTCATAGTTTTGTCTCTATGGATTTAAGAGTCAAATAGATTCCCAGAGGGAAGAATTTGTCTACATTTTAATATGGTGTTGCTATTATTTTCTATCTTTTAATCATTCCTATGAGCTTAATTCATCACCTTATTGTTAATGAAATAGGAGTCACTGCTTCATTCATCAGTTAGAAAAAGAAAACAAATAACATAAAACAAACCACCTCAAATATTATAAAACATAAGTACAGGAAATTAAGTGCTTAAAAACATTTGGTCCCAACAAAGAAAAATCCAGAACAGGTGGTTTCACTAGTAAACTCTATGAAAAGTTTAAAGAATTAACAACAATCCTCATCAAACTGTTCCAAAAAAGTAGAAGAGGAGTAAACACTTTCTAACTCATTCTATGAATGCACTATTACCCTCAATGCAAAGCCAGATAAAGACATCACAACAAAATGACATCATGAACAATATGCCTTATGAAAATTGATACAGAAGTTATCAGTGAAAATACTAGAAAACCAAATTCTATAGCACATTAATGGAACTATACATCTTGAAAAAGTGTTATTTATGCCACTAATGCAATCACAATTCAATGTAAGAAAATAAGCAATGTACCCATGGAAATAAAACAAAAGAAACACGGTCACCTTGGTTGAACCATAAGCAACATTTGACAAACCCAAACATTCATGATAAAAACACTCAGAGATTTGGAAACGGAGAACTTTATCAGCATGATAAAGTCGTTTACAAATAACCTACAATTAACATCCTACTTAGCGGTGTAAGATTCAAAACATTTCTACTAAAATCAGGAATAAGACAAGGATGCCTACTTTTACTAGTGCTATTTTTAACATTGTACTGGTAGTTCTAGCCAGAATAAGTAGGCAAGAAAAATGTTAAAAAAGACATCCAGATTGAAAAGCGGGAAAAATGATTTATATTTAAAAAGGAAATGACACTGTGTGTGGATTTCCCCAAATAATCCACAAGAAAACTAAACTTCTAGACTTAATAAAAAAGGTCTACACTCAAAAACACGTGTGTTTCTATATACTAGAAATTAACATATAGAAAGGAAATTAATAAGATAATTCACTTTGCTGAAGCATCCAAAGGAATAAAACATTTAGAAATAAATTTAACCAAGGAGGTAAAAGACTTGTAAACTGAAAACTATGAAACAATGCTGAACATAATTAAATAAGATCTGACTAAATGGAAATACATCTCCTTTTCATATTTAGGAAAACTTAATAGTAAGATATCAAAATTACCCAAAGTACATTTAAAACAACTTTATCATATTCCAATAGCTTTTTTCATAAAAGCAATCCTAAAATTTATGTTGAATTGTAAGGGGCATCTATTAGCCAAAACAATCTTGAAAAAATAAAATTAAAAAGGGGATGGTCTTATATTCTCTGACTCCAAAACTTACTACAATGTTATAGTAATCAAAAGAATGTGGTATTGGCATAAGGATAGACATCATGTGGTTTCACAAGCATGAACCAAATATAGATCAAAAATATTTAAGGAAGAAACTGATAGTTACATATGTACTGAATATGTACAGACAGACAATTTTTCTTATAATCTTCCCTAGACAATACAGAATAACAACTCTTTAAATAGGATTTCCATTGTATTATATGTTATTATTAATACAGAAATAATTTTAAGTATATCATTGGATGTGCATAGGTTATAGGCAAATACTACCAGATTTTATGTAAAGGACTTGAGCATCAGTGGATTTTGGTATCTGCAGGGTGTCCTAGAACCAATTCTCCACGAATATGGAGGTATTACTGTACAGGCCATTGGAATACAATTGAGAGGCCAGAAATTAACACATACATCTATGGTCAATAGATTTTTTTGACAGGGGCTCCCAGTCCAATCAATGGGGAAAGAAAGGTCTTTTTAAAAAATGGTGTTTGGACAATTGAATTTCCACATGTACAGGAATGAAGTTGATTCTCTACCTAACACCATATACAAATAATACATCAGAACTGATCACTGCTAAGTAAATAAATCCATTAAAAAAATTGCAATATACCTTGATGATTTGGATTTAACAATGGATTCTTAAATATAACACCAAAAGCATGAGGGGCAAAAATTAGTAATAGATAAATTGGACTTCATCAAAATTAAACTTTTACACCTCAAAGGATGTTATCAAAAATGTAAAAAGATAAACTATACTGTGAAAAAAAATTGGAAATCATATGTCTAAAAGGGCTTACTATTCAGAATATAAAGAACAACTACAATCAACAATAAAAAGACAAACATTAAAAACTGGCAAAGGACTTGAAGAGACATTTATGCAAAAACAATCAACAAGTGACCAGTCATGCACACGTAAAGCTGCTTAACAAACATATTTTCTTATCAAGGAAATCCACATGTAAACCACAATGAATTATCATGTAATAGTTTCTAGGGTGACTATAATTAGTTTAAGGAAAAACAGAAAATAACAAACATATCAAGGATGTGGAGACATTGCAACCTGCATACAGAGATAATGGGAATGTAAAATGTTGCAGTTGCTGTGGGAAACAGTCTTCTAGTTTTTTGAAAAGCAAAATATAGAATTAACATAATTTGGCATTCAATTTCTTAGTATATATCCAAAATAACTGAAAACAGAAACTCAAACAGATACTTGTACATCAATAGTCACTGTATAATTATCACTGTAGTTAAAATGTGAAAACAACTCAAAGCCCATCAACAGATTAATGGATAAACAAAGTATGCTACATAAATAATAAGATATCATTTATCCATAAAAACAAAGTTCTGATACATGCTAAAAGAGGTATTAAACATGGAAACATTATGATAAATTAAATAAGCCAGACACAAAAGGACCAAATTTGTGATTCCACTTTTATGAAATATCTAGGATAGGCTAATTCCTAAATACAGAAATAGATTAGAGTTTAGCACAGGCAGGAGAAAGGAGAGAATGAGGAGTTATTACTTAATGCTTACAAAGTTTGTTTGTAGTGATTATTAAAATTTTGGAAATAGTGGCTACATATAAGCATTTTAAATGGTACATATAAACATGTAATGCATGTATACATATAGTAAATACATACACAAATATAACAAAAATAAAATTAATAATAAAAAGTAATTGACAGTTTGTAAGAAAATATTCATGGAAAATCACTTTCAGGACATTAGAAAATTGTAGAAAGGTTGAAAAAATGCTGGAGATGATCTCTGGTACTTGCAGCACTGATGTGGCTAACTCACCTGAGAAATGTTTCAATTCAATGCAATCCTCACATCTATATTGTACCTAAATATTGTCTTAGTACTACCACTGGGGAAATAAAAAAAGTTGTTTTCTTACTGTCATTTACATTCTAAATATCACATTAGAATCCTATGGTTGAGATATTCTAGAAATAAGTCCTCAGGTCTTGCTACTATTCTGTAGATGACAGTAAAGAAGGAAGTAGGAATGATTTCCAAGTGATAAAATGTCAATCTGAGAAAGTCCGTCATCTTGCCAATTCAAGAACCAAATACGCCTTTCTATCTAAATTTAATCTACAAATAAAAATAATAGCAACCACATCATGCTCCTTCCTAACATGATATAATTATACCTTGTTTAAGGATGTTGCTTATTACCTTTGCAAAAGGGAGAACCCAGGACTCATCTATCATTTGCTGCTGCTTCTAGATAAACACAACCTCTCTTCTGATATCTGTAACTTAAAGATATAATTATAAAGGTAATTATACCATCAGATCATTTATAAAATAATAGAAAGGGCAAGAAAATATATTCTTGATTAATATTTATTAAAATAGCTATATAAAAATCAAGGAATAATTTAACTATTACAGTTCTCATTCCCTAGCCAGTCATGAAGCAGTATTTGGTATTTATGACCTTCTTTCAATACGCATCCCAGGCTTGCTTTAATCTCAGTTAACATCTCAGCAAACACCTCAGTTAGTCTTAGAGATTTGTCTAATGGGGTAATCCCAACTGAAGATTTAGTTTTTATTCATCATGCCTAGATTGGGCCTTACTTATTTTTTATTGACTTTTACTACTGAACATGAAAATATTAAGAACAACTTTCCCTGAATCCATGGTTTCTTAATATATTCCTCCTGTCCCTCGTATTTAGCATCAACTATTTATAATAAGATTAGCCTGTATGGCTAGTCTGTTGTAGTTATGGAAGGAGAGCCCAACATAGCCAAATGGAAGTGGCTCATTTCAAGTTCAATAAAAGCATGAATCTGTGCTCTGAAAAGATTTTCTTCTTTTTTGAAGAAAGAAAGTTCTTCTCTTTAGAAGAAAGAAAGTTTCTAAGAGTTACAGATCTTAGTAACCGGAAACAATATGCATACACACATATTTATATGGTTTCTTAGAAATAATGGAGAGATGAACCCTTTCTTCCATTCCTGATTTTCTTGATCCATGTGTTCTGGTTAATGGAGTAATGGCATCACATATTCCAAAGTTGACAAATGGGATCTAATTAAATTGAAGAACTTCTGCTCAGCAAAATAAACTACCATCAGAGTGAACAGGCAATCCACAGAATGGGAGAAAATTTTGCAACCCATCTGTCAAAGGTCTAATATCCAGAATCTACAAGGAAATTAAACAAATTTACAAGAAAAACACGAACAACCCCATCAAAAAGTGGGCGAAAGATATGAACAGACACTTTCAAAAGAAGACATTTATGTGGCCAACAAACATATGAAAAAAGTCTCATTATTACTGGTCATTAGGGAAATACAAATCAAAACCACAATGAGACACCATCTCACGGCAGTTAAAATGGCAATCATTAAAAAGTCTGGAAACAACAGATGCTGGCAAGGATGCAGAAAAATGCTTTTACACTTTTGGTGGGAGTGTAAATTAGTTCAACAGTTGTGGAAGACAGTGTGGCAATTCCTAAAGGATTTAGAACCAGAAATACCATTTGACCCAGCAACCCATTACTGGGTAGACACCCAAAGAATTATAAATCATTCTACTACAAAGACACATGCACAAGTATGTTTTATGCTGCACTATTCACAATAGCAAATGCTTGGAACCAACCCAAATGCCCATCAAAGATAGACTGCATAATGAAAATGTGGCACATATACACCATGGGATCCTATACAGCCTTAAAAAAGAATGAGTTCATGTCCTTTGTAGGAACATAGATGAAGCTGGATACCATCATCTTCAGCAAACTAACACAGGAATAGAAAACCAAAACATCACATGTTCTCACTCATAAGGGGGAGCTGAGCAATAAAAACACATGGACACAGGAAGGGGAACATTTCACACCAGGAACTGTTGGGGGAGGGGAAGGGGAGGGAGAGCATTAGGACAACTAGCTAATGCATGTGGGGCTTAAAACCTAGATTACGGGTTGATAGATGCAGCAAACCACCATGCCACATGCATGCCTATGTAACAAACCTGTACATTCAGCATAAATATCACAGAACTTAAAGTAAAATAATTTTGTAAAAAGAGTATATTCCACTTTTTGTTGAAGAACACCAACTTCTCCCAGCAAGTGCCATCAATGAGTCTTCATTAGACCATTTCACCCATCTAGCTGTCCAACGACCTCTGGATGATATACTATACATGGATGGACTGGTAAATCCAATGGTGTGAGATTTTTCTCACTTTCTCATTTATTTTGTTATAAAATAACTTACATACAGAAATAATGCTCTTTTGGTTATAAGGATAGTGAATATGGCATTTAGGAAGTCCATAGGTTGTTGTACAGGCAGAAGGATTACCGGCAGGAGAAGTATAACTACATATGAACGGAGTGTACGTTTCAGTGAAGACACAGCATTAACTCTGCATCTCTAATCTAATCAACATGCTGTTGGGTGGCTGGCCTGTCCCACTGGGAATGTTTTCAGCTTTGGTCTCTTCTGCTGACAGATAGAAGCCATCAATAGTAGTAAGATCAGTTTTGGTGAGGTGAAATCTATAATTTAAGCCAATGCATAAACCGTATTTTCCTTTAGCCCATTGAACAATCACTGGGTAAGAAAAGAATATGGCAGACATGAACAGAAAAGATTATCTTGACTTATTGAAAACCTCTTCTGCTACTGTGCTGAGCATTCTCATTAAAAATAAATAGCCACATACCCACTCCCTTATTCAAGAATGTTTATTCACATGATTTTTCTCCATTCCATCTTACTAGCAGTCTTTCCATCTGTTTTTCCAAGTGCTCCATCATGAGTTCAAACCACTAGCAACTACTTATGAATACATTCTTCTAACTGTATGCCCCTCTAAGGAAATTTTACAAGCAAATGCACTGTTAAAAAAAATTTGTTTCTTATAGTATTTCTCATCCTTACTCTTCTTCAAGACGACCCAAGACACGAGGTGCGATGCTGAAGCCATTCATTTCACCTGGCATCAACATATTAGAAAGAAACAACCAAAAATCAAGTCACATTGATTTTCTTTTTCTTGACAATTTTTTATAGGAAAATGTATGTTTGTATGTATGTATGCACGCACGTATGCTTATGTGTATGCATTTGCATACATGCACACGTGTTTCTTTCCTCTAAGGTTTTAGATTTGAGGCTTTTTGTATACAGCAAAAACAGATTAGGTATGTTTCCAAAGTCCAACCACAGGGCCAAAAACTCTGTATGTGATTGCAAAAATGTGGGCAAATGTATATGAATCCACCTTCCAGAAAATTAGGGGAAAAGGCAACATATGGCTGAGATTGGGAACACACACATTACTTCTTTATCTCATTAGGTAAAAAGCAAAGAATAAAAGGAAGGAATGGAGAAATGCAATCATTTTCTTCTATTTAATTCTATGTTTGTCAAACTAAACATGTAAAATTAAAGAAGTTAATTTTAGGAGTTTTAATATTACCTCACAGTTGAGAGTATATTGTGCAATATTAAATTCCTGTTGGAAATAATATTGTTGGAAATAAACTATCTTTCCAAGTGAAGATGGTTGAGTTAATTAATTTTGAAACTTCACTACATATAAATATTTCCTAAGCAAAATAGTGAATTCTTGTTTTTTAGCTTAAAAAAAATTATACCTTTGGGAGAACAGGTAAGAGTTGGAGAAGAGAAGAGATGTTTCCAAATTTGAATTAATTTTGTCCTAACTTTAAACCTCTTTAATAAGACAAAGCCTGACTGTTCTTTGCCTTCTATAGCATGATTATGTAAAACAGCCTTGATTCCTTGAATCATCATGGCTATGAACCAAACTAAATATTCCTGCCTAGATTCAAAGCATTGCTGGCCCTCAAATTAGAAGAATGAACTGCATAGTTTTTTTTTCTAGCTTTAGTGGGGATATCCTTAGAATAATAGGATTAGATTAAACAATCTTTTCAAATATCTTGAAAAGCTTAAATAAGGTTAGTGAGTTTACTGTGGTTACAGAAAATTTAGTTTATTTTTATGGTTCCCTTAGAAAATTAAAGTTGATTCCTATCAGAAAAACTGAAAGACAGTAAAAGGAAATGGTTAAGGCTACGGATATTGGCTGCCCAGGTTAGTCTTCTTGAATCTTTCACCTACTTACAGTGTGATATTAAACCATTTTGCCTCATTTGAAAAATGTAGATGTCAAGAAACATACTCCAAAGGTTTTCCTAAGTATCAAGTAATCCAACATATAATATATTAAGAAATTAAATATTCCTGGTACATATCAAAATGCAATAAATGTTAGATCATAATGTTATGAAAATTTTTGTCATATTAAGCACAATTACCTATATAGACATAAAAATATGTCCTGACTCTATACAGCCATAAAAAGGAACAATATCATGTCCTTTGCAGGGACATGGATGGAGCTGGAGGTCATTATCCTCAGCAAACTAACGCAGGAACAGAAAACCAAATACCGCATGTGGGAGCTGAATGATGAGAACACATGGACACGTTGGGGAAAACAATACATACTGGGGCCTGTCAGGGGTGGGGTGTGGAAGGAGGGAGAGAGCATCAGGAAGAATAGCTAATGGATGCTGTGCTTAATACCTGGGTGATGGGATGATCTGTGCAGCAAACCACCATGGCACACGTTTACCTATGTAACAAACCTGCACATCCTGCACATGTACCCCTGAACGTAAAATAAAAACAACACTGAAACAAAAAAAAAGTCCTGATAAAGAATCAATATCAATGTATCAAGCATGCCATTCTTTGTCCACTGTCATGTCAGTCAAAATAGATGCTATTCCATTCAAACTAAGGTCAAAAGGAAAGCACATCTTTTTTAGAGCTAAATTTATATGCAAAATATGGGCCTTTAGTGATTTTTGTGTGGCAGATCAAAACAAGTATGGCTTAAACTAGATAAATGACATTTTACGGAATCATAAAATGTGCCTTTAAACACTTAATGGCTGTAACACATTTTAATTAGCTATCTGGCAAATCAACAGATGTACATGGCCAAACTTGCATAACTGATCTACTAACAATGGTGTTGGTCCTTTTAAAGAGCTTGTAGCATTGCCTGCATTAACTATCTTAATACCTCATTAATTTCTGGCCTGTCCATTTGCAATAGAGATTTTAAAACCATGCCATTTTGAAAATGTCAATAAAGTACATGTTTTTCTTAGTGAACACAGATGTATAGTATATACAAGTAATTTCTCAGAACTGATGCTAGAGCTTGTCAAAAGATGTGACATAATTTGGAATTTTCCTATGCACATGAGTCATAATCTTTACCAGAGTCTGAATGTTTCAATGTTTTCCTTTTTTCAAGGAAGATTTTTTTTTTATTCATGGGGCTGTATAACATATTGGTTTAAAGGTCATACTTTGGAGAAAGACTGCTGGCAATTAAATCCTGCTTCTAACACTTCCTGGCTGTGTGACCTTGGACAACTTGTTGAACTTCATCAGGGCTCTGCTTCTTCATACATGTACCCGAGAACTTAAAGTATAATAAAAAAAAATAAATTTTGGGAAAAAAATAATAATTTCCTCACTGAATTGTTGTAAGTAAGGGAGAAAAACCTATAGGCTTGTGTGAGTTCTTCAGTTAGAAGATTATTTGATTTTAAATTTGTTCATTTGATGAAATATAAAATCAAATATTTCAATCTTCTCTCTTGCAAATAAAACAAAAATAAGTATCTTCTGTTAAGAAGTATATTTTACTGTTTCATTGGTGCATCTTGGAGACATCAATTGTTGCATCACTGCCATATACACATATATATGTATATACAGCAACTCCACATAAAAGGATTTATATATAAATCTTTCTAATATTTGTTATGGTAGCAAGGTAGAAGATAACTCTGCAAGATATTCAACTGACCTAAGGCACATCCTACAGTGTATCATCTCATGCTTGTTTTCTGTCTTTTGTCTCTATCCGGACTTTACTCAAGGTAGGAAAATTCTGTAGGATTCTATCAATGGCTAGCAATAGACATCTTCAAGAGCAGGGGAGGTTACCAGTGAACAAACATTTAACCAATGATAGACAGAAGCTATACTCTTACTTTTATCTTTTCTTCACCCTCAGTGCAAATGATGTAACAAAAATGGAAATTAAGGGAGTAAGAAAACTGGCATAAGACAGGGATGCCCTCTCTCACCACTCCTATTCAACATAGTGTTGGAAGTTCTGGCCAGGGCAATCAGGCAGGAGAAGGAAATAAAGGGTATTGAATTAGGAAAAGAGGATGTTAAATTGTCCCTGTTTGCAGATGACATGATTGTATATTTAGAAAACCCCATCGTCTCAGCCCAAAATCTCCTTAATCTAATAAGCAACTTCAGCAAAGTCTCAGGATACAAAATCAATGTGCAAAAATCACAAGCATTCCTATACACCAATAACAGACAAACAGAGAGCCAAATCATGAGTGAACTCCCATTCATAATTGCTTCCAAGAGAATAAAATACTTAGGAATCCAACTTACAAGGGAAGTGAAGGACTTCTTCAAGGAGAACTACAAACCACTGCTCAATGAAATAAAAGAGGACACAAACAAATGGAAGAACATTCCATGCTCATAGATAGGAAGAATCAATATCATGAAAATGGACATACTGCTCAAGGTAATTTATAGATTCAATGCCATCCCCATCAAGCTACCAATGACTTTTTTCACAGAATTGGAGAAAACTACTTTAAAGTTCATATGGAACCAAAAAAGAGCCCACATTGCCAAGACAATCCTAAGCCAAAAGAATAAAGCTGGAGGCATCACGCTACCTGACTTCAGACTATACTTAAAGGCAGCAGTAATCAAAACAGCATGGCACTGGTACCAAAGCAGATATACAGACCAATGGAACAGAACAGAGCCCTCAGAAATAATACCACACATCTACAACCATCTGTTCTTTGACAAACCTGACAAAAACAAGAAATGCGGAAAGGATGCCCTATTTAATAAATGTTGCTGGGAGAACTGGCTGGCCATTTGTAGAAAGCTGAAACTGGATCCCTTCCTTACACCTTATACAAAAATTAAATCAAGATGGATTAAAGACTTAAATGTTAGACCTAAAACCATAAAAACCCTAGAAGAAAATCTGGGCAATACCATTCAGGACATAAGCATGGGCAAGGACTTCATAAAGCCAAAATAGACAAATGGTATCTAATTAAACTAAGGAGCTTCTGCACAGCAAAAGAAACTACCATCAGAGTGAACAGGCAACCTACAAAATGGAAGAAAATTTTTAGATTCTACTCATCTGACAAAGGGCTAATATCCAGAATCTACAAAGAACTTAAACAAATTTACAAGAAAAAAATCAAACAACCCATCAAAAAGTGGGTGAAGGATATGAACAGACACTTCTCAAAAGAAGACATTTATGCAGCCAACAGACACATGAAAAGATGCTCATCATCACCGGCCATCAGAGAAATGCAAATCAAAACCGCAATGAGATACCATCTCACACTAGTCAGAATGGTGATCATTAAAAAGTCAGGAAACAACAGGTGCTGGAGAGGATGTGGAGAAATAGGAACACTTTTACACTGTTGGTGGGACTGTAAACTAGTTCAATCATTGTGGAAGACAGTGTGGCGATTCCTCAAGGATCTAGAACTAGACCACTTGACCCAGCCATCCCATTACTGGGTATATACCCAAAGGACTATAAATCATGCTGTTATAAAGACACATGCACACATATGTTTATTGCGGCATTATTCACAATAGCAAAGACTTGGAACCAATCCAAATGTCCAACAATGATAGACTGGATTAAGACAATGTGGCACATATAGAAAATGGAATACTATGTAGCCATAGAAAATGATGAGTTCATGTCCTTTGTAGGGACATGGATGAAGCCGGAAACCATCATTCTCAGCAAACTATCACAAGGACAGAAAACCAAACACCTCATGTTCTCACTCATAGGTGGGAATTGAACAATGAGAACACTTGGACACAGGGTGGGGAACATCACATACCGGGGCCTGTTGTGGGGTGGGGAGAGTGGGGAGGGATAGCATTAGGAGATATACCTAATGTAAATGACAAGTTAATAGGTGCAGCACACCAACATGGCACATGTATACATATGTAACAAACCTGCATGTTATGCACATGTACCATAGAACTTAATATATATATATACTTTAAGTATATACTTTATGTATATATATACACATATACTATATATATACTTGATGTGTGTATATATATATATATATATATACACACACATAAAAGAATCCAACAGGATCATACTCCGCATACTATTTTATAATCTTTTTCACATAATGCATTGTGATCATATTTCCATGTTAATAAATAGATTTCTATGACAAAAAAAAAAACAAAGAAAAGTTAGGAAAGAAAGAAACCTCAATAAAACCTTGTGCTTGGAGAATTGCTTGAACCTGAGAGGCGGAGGTTGCAGTGAGCAGAGAACACACCACTGCACTCCAGCCTGGAAACAAACAAACAAACAACAACCAAAAACACTTGGCACCTGAGCCAGGCACAGTGGCTCACACCTGTAATCCCAGCACTTTGGGAGGTGGAGGTGGGAGGGATTGTTTGAAGCCAGGTGTTCAAGACCAGCCTGGGCAACAAGCCAAGACTCTATTTCTACATATTTTTTTAAATTATCCTTGAGAAGTGGTGTGCCCTTATAGTCCCAGTCACTTGTGAGGTTGAAGCAGGAGGATTGCTTCAGCCTCAGAGTTTAAGGCTGCAGTGAGCTATGATCATGTCACCGCATTTCAGTCTGAGCGGCAGAGCAAAACCCTAATAACACTGTGCCTGGCAATTATAACTTTAGAAATACCTTTACTTTTAAAGAATGTTTTGAATTTCATTTCCTGAGAAAGAAGACACTCTGCATAGAAAGAATTTCCTAGATACAATTAATGCACAGAGCCAAGATCAGCTTCTACAGAGATATTTCCCTCAATTGAAATTATTTTCACAGGATATGGCATAAGAATAATGACAAAACTGACTGCCTTTCTCTCAAGAGTAAAATTGAGCACTCCATTGATCCTTTGGTCCTCAGATACCACTAAATCTCAACATTCATCTTGGACAATACTTAATATTATATGATATAAAAATAAATTAGGTCGGAACAACGTCTAAAACACTAAGTATTGACTTGCTGTCTAAGAGTAACAGGTGAACAGAGACTGCTGGGCCACTACTGTGCTCTCTAGTAATCTATAATACTTATTTTAAAAGGAGGCATGTCGTACACATGACATTGATCTAATTTACCTGCAGAGGTCCTAAAGGATACATATTCATGCAGTAGATGGGGAATGCTGAAGAAATATCAGCTCCACTCTGGAAGAGAAAATTCCTGAGGTTAGACTGAGCAGAATTTTTTTTTTTAAATTGAGTTTAATTCCTTTGGAATTTTAACTCAAAAGATCAAAAAAATCTGATTTTGTCTTTTAATTTTTTCAACCTCCAGGGCTTGACTTGCAAAGGAATTTAATTGGAGATTTTAATATCTCTCTAGCAATTAGAAAATGGAACGTTGTGTGAAAATGTGAGGCCGCAGTATGCTTTTGACAGTTTATTTTTGATATCTATAATATTTGATTATTGAAGTATATTTCTGATTATATTTAATTTTATTGTTAATAGCACATGTGATTGGCTATGTTGTGCAATGCAGATAGACATCTTTTAGAGAACAACAAAAATAGGAAGAGAACTTTTAAATCTGAATTCAATATATTCTTGTAGTAGATATGCCTATTTCATTGTTTGATCTACGAGGACAAAACTTTGTAGGCTCAAAAACAGTCTTATAAAACAGTCACAAGGGACAGCCTGTAAGTGCAAACACAATGAAGATGGGAGACTGATAGACTGCAATACCCAGAATGATGGTCATATATCTGGCTGAACAGTAATTCAAGGTTTAAACCAATAAGTTGCGAGGTCAAATACCTGAGAATGTCAGAAAACAAAAATCCTTAAGGCAATTCCTTGCAGGGAATTGTCCTCAAGATATTAGCAGAGCTTGTTAAACCATCCCTGAAAGCATCCTGTCTCTTTGTTTGTTGCTTGACCTTGAAATCCACGGGGTAGGCAGTCAGAAAGCAAGAAGGGTAAAGTGAGGGTAAACTGAGGTCAGCATGAATGCCACATGCTTGGTCTGGAACCCCACAAAAAAAAGACTGAAACCTGTGTCAGTTTTTTATGTTGTTGACCCTGGTAACTAGTCTATTCTGCAGTAGCTGTTTAGACACAGAAATAAGCACTCACACCTAGACCAGTACCCAGAGAGGTCTAACAAGGATCTAGGGGAAGATAAAAGCATCTGGAGGCTCTGCTACTTCTTTCAGACACAGGTAAGTCATCAGGTTAGCAACTGTGTGTATAAATTACAAAATGGCTGCTGATTCCCCTAGCCCTCCAAATCTCCAAAGAATCTC
Organism: Homo sapiens; assembly: GCF_000001405.40. Lineage (NCBI taxonomy): Eukaryota > Metazoa > Chordata > Mammalia > Primates > Hominidae > Homo > Homo sapiens. The sequence goes on from NC_000006.12 coordinate 67,292,980, forward strand.
TCGTGTTTTTCACCCTTATTGAAAACATAATGAAAAGGGAATTCTGGGAAATGTAATTCAGCCCTCTAGTTACCTTATTAAAAAGTCACCATGCCACTCCTTCCCCATTCAAAGTGGAGGGATTCTCTTTGGATTCTGACAAAATCCTTCTTTTTTTTTTTTTTTTTCTGTAGATAGTGTTGGAGCAAGTGACCTAATGATGGTGGTAGCAGGTAGCATTTGTTTATGTTTCTTTATTTAGGGAAATAAATCTCTTTAAATTTTGAACATGGGAAAAATCTTGACCTATTAAAGGCAGTGACCTAGAAAAGAATATCTGCTTTGTCGAGTCAATCTATCTTTCAGTGGGCTGCCTCAAGTTTTGCACTGGAGAGTAGATGATCAGCAAGCCCTTTTAGTTTTCACAACCAAGCCAGATTCTCCAATATACTTTATATCAGTAACAATGTTTCCATTTTGTTTTTGTATTTTTAAGTAAAATATTTTATTTCTTAATTTAGAAACTGATAAAGATCCTATTTATTGAGCCTATGATTTTATAATAAAGATATAAATAAAATGTTTTAAAATTATGACATGCACCACGATATAATTTTCTTTACAAATAATATTTTTTAAAGGTGCTATTTATCTTTTTTGACCAATTTTAGTGTGAGAAAATTGCCTTGAATATATCTGCTCAGCTCAGGTTTCTAACTATAATATCTAAAGTGATTATTTAACTAAAAGTCTCTGCTAAAATGCCAAAAATATATGATATATATTGGAAAATGCTAAGCTCCTAACCTGAAATAAGAATTTTGCCAATTGCCTCATAACAGTTAGATATACATACATATATATATAACTGTTATATACGTATATACCTATATGTATATAGCCTATATACGTATATGCCTATATGTATATAGCCTATATACGTATATGCCTATATGTATATAGCCTATATACGTATATAGCCTATATGTATATAGGCTATATACATATAACTGTTATATACATATATACCTATATATTTATATATGTAAATAATATACAAGTACACACATACATATATACATATATTTATAAAATGTGTATATTGATGTGTTTTTTTTATTCCTATAATTAATACTGCTCCATGATATTCATTATTTCAGGATGAAGTTGTTGACTTTTATAGTGGTAGAGAATAACATTGTCATATTATTGTAATACGTCCTTCAAAAACCAGATCTTGGTACATTGAGTATATGTTTAAAAAAAATCTTATAGAAAATTTTATTCTGCTTCTCATCAAAATTGACCTGGGCCATGAAAGCATAAAATCACAGAATACAGAAATGCAGTACTGCTGAGGTAAAGGTATATGCCTTGTTTTTAAAAACTGAACCCCAGAAGTCATAGTGAATTCTCGGGTATACTGGACTTGAACAAGTGAAGAAGATACCTGTGTTCTCCTTCTTAGCTAGAGTTCTGAAACATAACAAAATAGGACAACACTATTGTGAACTCAAGAACAAAGAGAGCAGTGTGAGCTAAGTAGCTAAAGAGGTTCAGAATGGCTGTAGAACATCCTCCCGAAATTCTCTTTTCTTTCTTTTTTTTTTATTACACTTTAAGTTCTGGAGTACATGTGCGGAACGTGCAGTTTTGTTACTTAGGTATATAGGTACCATGGTAGTTTGCTGCACCCATCAACCCATCACCTACTTTAGGTATTCTAATGTTATCATTCCCCTACCCCCGACCCACTGACAGGCCCTGGTGTGTGATGTTCCCCTCCTATGTCCATGTGATCTCATTGTTCAACTCCCATTTATGAGTGAGAACATGTGGTGTTTGGTTTTCTGTTCTTGTGATAGGGTGCTGAGAATGATGGTTTTCAGCTTCATCCATGCCCCTGCAAAGGACATGAACTCATCCTTTTTATGGCTGCATAGTATTCCACAGTGTATATGTGCCACATTTTCTTTATGCAGTCTATCACTGATGGACATTTGGGTTGGTTTTATACAGTCTATCATTGATGGACATTTGGGTTGGTTCCAAGTCTTTGCTATTGTGAGTAGTGCCACAGTAAACATAGGTGTGCATGTGTCTTCATAGTAGAATGATTTATAATCCTTTGGGTATATCTCCAATAATGGAATAGCTGGGTCAAATGGTATTTCTAGTTCTAGATCCTTGAGGAATCGCCACACTGTCTTCCATAAAGATTGGACTAATTTACACTTCAACCAACAGTGTAAAAGCATTCCTATTTCTTCACATCCTCTCCAGCATCTGTTGTTTCCTGACTTTTTAATGATCACCATTCTGACTGGTGTGAGATTGTATCTCATCGTGGTTTTAATTTGCATTTCTCTAATGACCAGTGATAATGAGCATTTTTTCATGTCTGTTGGCTGCATAAATGTCTTCTTTTGAGAAGTGTCTGTTCATATCCTTTGCCCACTTTTTTTTTTTTTTTTTTTTTTTTTTTTTTCTGAGACAGAGTCTCGCTCTGTCACCCAGGCTGGAGTGCAGTCGTGTGCTTTGCCCACTTTTTGATGGAGCTGTTTTTCTCTTGTAAATTTGTTTAACTTCTTTGTAGATTCTGGATACTAGCCCTTAGTCAAATGGATAGATTGCAAAATTTTTCTCCCATTCTGTAGGTTGCCTGTTCAGTCTGATGATAGTTTCTTTTGCTATGCAGAAGCTCTTTAGTTTAATTAGATCTCATTTGTCAATTTTGGCTTTTGTTGCCATTGCTTTTGCTGTTTTAGACATGAAATCTTTGCCCATGCCTATGTCCTGAATGGTATTGCCCAGATTTTCTTCTAAGATTATTATGGTCCTAGGTCTTACATTTAAGTAATTGATCCATCTTGAGTTGATTTTTGTATAAGGTGTAAGAAAGGGGTCCAGTTTCAGTTTTCTGCATATGGCTAGCCAGTTTTCCCAGCACCATTTATTAAATAGGGAATTTTTCCCCATTGCTTGTTGTGTCAAGGTTGTCAAAGAACAGATTGTTGTTGATATGTGGTGCTATTTCTGAGGGCTCTGTTCTGTTCCATTGGTCTATATCTCTGTTTTGGTACCAGTACCATGCTGTTTTGGTTACTACCACCTTGTAGTATAGTTTGAAGTCAGATAGCATGATGCCTCCAGCTTTGTTCTGATTGCCCAGGATTGTCTTGGCTATGCAGGTTCTTTTTTTGGTTCCATATGAAATTTAAAGTAGTTTTCTCCAATTCTTTGAAGACAGTCATTGGTAGCTTGATGGGGATAGCATTTAATCTATAAATTACTGTGGGCAGCATGGCCATTTTCATGATATTGATTCTTCCTATCCATGAGCATGGAATGTTTTTCCATTTGTTTGTGTCCTCTCTTATTTCCTTGAGCAGTGGTTTGTAGTTCTCCTGGAAGAGGTCCTTCACATCCCTTGTAAGTTGTATTCCTAGGTATTTAATTCTCTTTGTAGCAATTGTGAATGGGAGTTCACTCATGATTTGGCTCTCTGTTTTTCTGTTATTGGTGTATAGGAATATTGTAATTTTTGCACATTCATTTTGTATCCTGAGACTTTGCTGAAGTTGCTTATCAGCTTAAGGAGATTTTGGGCTGAGATGATGGGGTTTTCTAAATATACAATCATGTCGTCTGCAAACAGAGACAATTTGACTTCCTCTCTTCCTATCTGAATACCATTTATTCCTTTTTCTTGCCTGATTGCCTGGGCCAGAACTTCCAAAACTATGTTGAATAGGAGTGATGAGAGAGAGAATCCTTGTCTTGTGCCAGTTTTCCAAGGGAATGCTTTCAGTTTTTGCCCATTTAGTATGATATTGGCTGTGGGTTTGTCATAAATAGCTGTTATTATTTTGAGATACATTCCATCAATACCTAGTTTATTGAGAGATTTTAGCATGAAGGCTGTTGAATTTTGTCAAAGACCTTTTCTGCATCTATTGAGATAATCATGTGGTTTTGGTCGTTGGTTCTATTTATGTGATGGATTACGTTTATTGGTTTGCATATCTTGAACCAGCCTAGCATTCCAGGTATGAAGCTGACTTGATCCTGGTGGATAAGCTTTTTGCTGTGCTGCTGTATTTGGTTTGCAAATATTTTGTTGAGTATTTTCACGTCAATGTTCATCAGGGATATTGGCCTGAAATTTTTTTGTTGTTCATGTGTATCTGTCAGGTTTTGGAATCAAGATGATGCTGGCCTCATACAATTACTTAGGGAGGATTCCCTCTTTTTCTATTGTTTGGAATATTTTCAGAAGGAATGGTAGCAACTCCTCTTTGTACCTCTGGTAGAATTTGGCTGTGTATCCATCTGGTTCTGGACTTTTTTTAGTTGGTAGGCTTTTAATTACTGCCTAAATTCCAGAACTTGTTATTGGTTTATTCAGATATTCAACTTCTTCCTGGTTTAGACTTCAGAGGGTGTATGTGTCCAGGAATTTATCTATTTCTTCTAGATTTTCTAGTTTATTTGCATAGACGTGTTTATAGTATTCTCTGATGGTAGTTTGTATTTCTGTGGTATCAATGGTGATATCCCCTATATCATTTTTTATTGTGTCTATTTGATTCTTCTCTCTTTTCTTCTTTATTAGTCTTGTTAGTGGACTATCTTTTTTGTTGATCTTTTCAAAAAACCAGCTCCTGGATTTATTGATTTTTTGAAGGGGTTTTTGTGTCTCTATCTCCTTCAGTTCTGCTCTCATCTTAGTTATTTCTTGCCCTCTTCTAGCTTTTTAATTTGTTTGTTGTTGCTTCTCTAGTTCTTTTAATTTTGATGTTAGGGTATCAATTTTAGATCTTTCTTGCTTTCTCTTGTGGTCATTTAGTGCTATAAATTTCCCTCTACACACTGCTTTAAATGTGTGCCAGAGATTCTGGTATGTTGTGTCTTCATTCTCCTTGGTTTCAAAGAATATATTTATTTCTGCCTTCATTTCATTATTTACACAATAGTCATTCAGGATCAGGTTGTTCAGTTTCCATGTAGATTTGTGGTTTTGAGTGAGTTCTTAATCTTGAGTTCTAATTTAATTGCAATGTGGTCTGAGAGACTGTGTGTTATGAATTCCATTCTTTTGCATTTGCTGAGGAGTGTTTTACTTCCAAATATGTGGTCAATTTTAGAATACGTGTGATGATGTGCTGAGAAGAATGTATATTCTGTTGATTTGGAGTGGAGAGTTCTGTAGATGTCTATTAGGTCTGCTTGGTCCAGAGTTGAGTTAAAGTCCTGAATATCCTTGTTAATATCCTGTCTCATTGATCTGTCCAATATTGACAGTAGGGTGTTAAAGTCTCCCACTATTACTGTGTGGGAGCCTAAATCTTTTTGTAGGTCTCTAAGAACTTGCTTTATGAATCTGGGTGCTCCTGTATCAGGTGCATATGTATTTAGGATAGTTAGCTCTTCTTGTTGCATTGATCCCTTTACCATTATGTAATGCCCTTCTTTGTATCTTTTAACATTTTTGGTTTAAAGTCTGTTTATCAGAGATTAGTTTTGCAACTTCTACATTTTTTTTCTTTCCATTTGCTTGGTGAATATTCCTCCATCCCTTTATTTTGAGTCTATGTGTGTCTTTGCACATGAGATAGGTCTCCTGAACACAGAACACTGATGGGTCTTGACTCTTTATCCAATTTGCCAGTCTGTTCTTTTAATTGGAGCATTTAGCCCATTTATATTTAAAGTTAATACTGTTATGTGTGAATCTGATTCTGCCATTATGATGCTCGCTTTGCCCATTAGTTGATGCAGTTTCTTCATAATGTCCATGTTCTTTACAATTTGGTATGTTATTGCAGTGGCTGGTACTGGTTGTGCCTTTCCACGTTTAGTGCTTCCTTCAGGAGCTCTTGTAAGGCAAGACTGGTGGTGACAAAGTCTCTCAGCATTTGCTTGTCTGCAAAGGGTTTTATTTCTCCTTTGCTTAATGAAGCTTAGTTTGGCTGGATATGAAATTCTAGGTTGAAAATTCTTCACTTTAAGAAGGTTGAATATGGACCCCCACTCTCTTCTGGCTTGTAGGGTTTCTGCAGAGATATCTGCTGTTAGTCTGATGGGCTTCCCTTTGTGGGTAACCCGACCTTTCTCTTGGGCTGTCCTTAACTTTTTTTCCTTCATTTCAACCTTAGTGAATCTGACAATTATGTGTCATGGGGTTGCTCTTCTTGAGGAGTATCTTTGTGCTGTTCTCTGTATTTCCTGAATTTGAACGTTGGCCTGTCTTGCTAGGTTGGGGAAGTTCTCCTGGGTAATATCCTGAAGAGTACTTTAGAACTTGGTTCCATTCTCCTCATCAGTTTCAGGTACACCAATCAAATGTAGATTTGGTCTTTTCACATCGTCCCATATTTCTTGGAGAGTTTGTTCATTCCTTTTTATTCTTTTTTTTTAATAATCTTGTCTTCTCTCTTTATTTCATTTAGTTGTTCTAAGGTCACTGATATCCTTTCTTCCACTTGATTGATTCGGCTATTGAAACTTGTGTATGCTTCATGAAGTTCTCGTGCTGTATTTTTCAGCTCCATCAGGTCATTTATGTTCTCTATATTGGTTATTCTAGTTAGAAATTTGTCTAACCTTTTTTCAAGGTTCTTAACTTTCTTGCGTTGGATTAGAACATGCTCTTTTAGCTCAGAGGAGTTTGTTATTACCCACCTTCTGAGGACTACTTCTGTTAATTCATCAAACTCATTCTTTGTCCAGTTTTATTCCCTTGCTGGTGGGGAGTTGTGATTCTTTGGAGTAGAAGAGAAATTCTGGTTTTTGGAATTTTCAGTCTTTTTGAGCTGGTTCCTCCCCATCATTGTGGGTTTATCTACCTTTGGTCTTTGATGTTGGTAACCTTTGGATGGGGTCTTTGAGAGGACATGCTATTCTTTTCTGTTTATTAGTTTTCCTTCTGACAGTCAGGCCCATCTGCTGCAGGTCTGCTAGAGTTGGTGGAGGTCCACTCCTGACCCTGTTTGCCTGGATATCACCAGCAGAGGCTGCAGAACAGCAAAGATCTTTCCTCTGGAAGCTTCATCCCAGAGGGGCACCTGGCAGATGCCAGCCAGGTCTCTCCTGTATAAGGTGTCTGTCAGTCACTACTGAGAGGCATCGCCCACTCAGGATACACAGGGGTCAGGGATCCACTTGAGGAGGCAGTCTGACCCTTAGCAGACCTTGAATGCTGTGCTGGGAGGTCTGCTCCTCTCTTCAGAGCCATCAGGCAGGGACATTTAAGTCTGCAGAAGCTGTGCCCACAGCTGCCCCTTCCCCCAGGTGCTCTGTCCCAGGGAGATGGGGGTTTTATTTATCAGACCCTGAATGGGGCTGCTAACTTTTTATCAGAGATGCCCTACCCAGAGAAGAGAAATCTGGCAATCTGGCCACAGCAACCTTGCTGAGCCACAGTGGACTCCACCCAGTTGGAACTTCCCAGTGGCTGTTTACACCGTGAGCATAAAACCGCCTACTCAAGCCTCAGTGATGGTGGACGCCCCTCCCCCCACCAAGCGGGGGGCATCTCAGGTTGATCTCAGACTGCTGCTGTGCTGGCAGTGAGAATTTCAAGCCAGTGGATCTTAGTTTGCTGGGCTCCATTGTGGGTGGGACCTACCGAGCCAGACCACTTGGCTCCCTGGTTTCAGCACCCCTTTCCAGGGGAGTGAATGGTTCTGTCTTGCTGGCAGCGTTCCAGGCACCACTGGGGTATGGAAAAAAATAACTCCTGCAGCTAGTTCAGTGTCTGCCCAAATGGCAGCCCAGTTTTGTGCTTAAAACCGGGGCCCTGTTGGGGTAGGCACCACAGGGAATCTACTGGTTTGTGAGTTGTGAAGACCATGGGACAAGCGTAGTATCTGTGCCGGAGTTCCTTAGGCTCAGACTGTCATGGCTTCCCTTGGGTAGCGAAGAAAACTCCCAACCCCTTGTGCTTCCTGGCTAAGGCGACGCCCCACCCTGCTTTGGCTTGCCCTCTGTCTGCTGCACCTACTGTACAACCAGTCCCAATGAGATGAACCAGGTACCTCAGTTGGAAATGCAGAAATCACCCAATTCTGCGTAGATCTCGCTGGGAGCTGCAGACCTGAGCTGTTTCTATTCGGCCATCTTGCCATCAACCCCCACTCTCTTTTCTTTATTGAAACAGCTAAATTGGCTAATAAGATGATATTATTAAATTTAGTGAAAATTTTTTTTTACTTTTATGTAGTAATAAAGTAAGAAGTTTTACTATATTTAAAGCACACTTAGATAAGAGAAAATACATATTGAAACTTGTGACATGAGAGGGAGTAAGAGCTCTCCAAGGTTTGTAGATTTATTTGTAACAATGTAACCTAAGTTTTACAAGCTCATAAAGCTTGTAACGAGATTTTAAGAGAATTAAACGTAGGTTAAATTGTTAAAAATGATGAATGTAGTTTCATTATATGTACAAGAGAAACTTAAAAACCTGAGCCTGTTTGCAAAAACATACCAGAAACTTGGCTCCCAGAGGAGCTCCATTGCCCTGAGAAGTCTACTGGGGTATGTGGAGAGTAGAACAGCTTATGTCTGGAAAAATGGGCTGAGATTGACCATTCGGCTGACATAGGGCATGTGGCAGATCCAGACATTTCTACATGCCTGTTTTTGAAACACAGAAATACTGAGAAGGCAAATACTCCAGAATGTACCTGGACTTGTCTGTAATGTGTAGCTGACCAAATATAGCCATTCTTTTTTTTCAAATGATCTTACATAATTATGTATTGATACATGACTATAAGTAGTGAGAAATGATATAGGTATCTCGGTGGAAGTTAGTGAAAATCCAATATCAACAAGTGGTCTACATTAAATCTAAGAAATTATTTTCTGACTATGGAATTCTAGAAGTCACTCTATGTCTGCTTTTGCCTAATATAATTATGTTCAGGCTTTCCTTCAGTTTTATAACTTTCCTTGTAAACTTTTATTTATTTTTAAAATCATTATTATTTTGTTATTCACAATATGTTTCTATGGATTGCTAACAAAACAAAAATACCAATTAAGAAATTGATCATGGTCATGAGGCAACAGAAAATAGAAAAAATGTACAACAGTTGGAATTGTTTACTGCATTAAGATCTAATAAAAAAATGCAAATACCCATCTGTAGTCCAGAATAAGAAAATTTGAAGCACATGGTTTTTAGGGAAAGATGAATAAAACTAATCCAGAGCCTATAATCACCTGAGGCCTTGTACTTACTAAGATTAATACTCTGATGTCAACATATCTGCTACCATGGGCCAATTAATAAAGGATTTGGTGTTTTAGCTTTAAACAACTGGAATTTTGAATTAGATCTGTCATAAGCAATATTCTCCCAAGATTCAAAAAACATCCCTTTCTTCACATCACAAAGAATAAACTGGTAAATATATATGCCAAAATTCTTAAATAAATAAAATTACTTTTGCAGTTTTTTAAAATTATTATTAAAGTTGTGTATGTAAGAGATAAATGTTTAAACAAACAGTCTCATAACAGAAACAGAGAGAGACTGAGACACTGGAGTCCACATGCTTTGTGTAACTAATAATAAACATATGTATAAGGTTATCATAAGAAGTTGTAGGGTAAGCATGCTAATCTTAATTCAGCAAGTGGTACATATGCTATACACTTTGGATATAGTTACTTAATCTTGGAACTCTTAGGAAAGAAATGAAGAGTCCATATACTCACAAAGGTATAACTAAACTTGTTTAAACTAAGGAAAGTACCACCTATTCATGCGTTTGGAAGAGAAATGGAACTTAACTACCACTGTAGATAGTTACTGTCTCTCACCCAGGTCTGGGTCAAAGACCTTTGAGTTAAGTAAAGTAGAAGTACCCTTGAGGAAAGCCTGCTTTAATAGTACACATAATTATTGTTGAAACTTCTTTATAGACTTTATAATTTGCCACCTAGCTCTGAAGTATATGTAAACCAGAAAAAGTGAAATATTCAAATATATCTGTGATTATTAAATTCTACAGCTAACCATAATATCAGGGAACATAAAACATCTGGCCAGATATTTGCATTGAGTTGGGGTCAGCAGTGTCATCTGAATAATGAAGTTATGACCAATTTTCATATGATGATAGGTGAGTAAACTGCAAACATACCCTTTAATTTCTATTTGGAGAATGTGTATAATTGCTATTATTTTTTTCTTACATTTCTGACAGAATTTGCCAATGAAACCATTAAGCCCTGGAGACTTTTTTTTTTTTTTTTGGAAGATTTTGCATAGCAATTCAAGTCCTTTAAGAGACTATATTATGTATTTATTCTTGAGTGATTTATGGTAGTTTTGCCTTTAGGGAATTGATAAGTTTCATTTAAGTTGTCTATTTTGTTTGGCTTGAGTCTTTAGTCAATAATACTTTTAATGCCTTCTTTCATTCCTGATAAGAGTAAATGTGTCTTTACTTTTTTCTTGGTTAGTCTGGTAGACTTTTGTCAATTGTTTCTGATTTTAGGAAGGAAGCATTCAGTCTTTTATTATTTTTAGTATTAGCTATGGGTTTTATGTAGATCTTAACCAATTTAAATAATTTATTTTATATTCCTTTTTGTTGAGTGTTTTTATCATGAATGGGTGCTAGGTTTTGCCAAATAGTTTCCATGTGTCTATTGAGGTAATGATACATTTTTTTTTCCTGTGTGTATGCTTTTTCTATCAACAGACTTACTATGTTAATTGATTTGCAAATGTTTACCCGATTTTGCATTTGTGGGATAAATGCCACTGGGTAATTTTTTGGAAGAACATTAAAAAATTTGTGTGATTTAATGTTTGATAGAAGTCACCTGCTAACATATCTGGGTCTGGGCTTTCGCTTTTGTTTGTTGGAATATTTTAAAATTATCTTCTCACATTTTCTCACACCATTCATGCTTCTACCTCTTGTTCTTGCTATCTCTATCAAAGACAATTGAATTACATTTTCATGTAGATCATACTTTAAGAATAAAATGTCTTCTTAGGATTTTGAGAAACTTACATGAGGTTAGAACAACACTTTCCTCATTTAAGTCCATTTATGTCCGTAATTTCTGGGTAATTTTAGGGCTTTTGGTTTTAGTTTGTAGCTATTTCATTGTTAAAGTTTCTAATTGTGTTTCCATGTTTTTTATTGGTTTTGTTTATTTTGTCATCATCCATATTCAGAATTATTTAAGAATCATTTTTTCTTATTTTTATACACATTTTATTTCAGAATACTTTCAGATTTACATAAAAAAATCACATCTTATATTAGTGTAGTAAATTTGTCACAGCTAATGAACCAATATTGACACATTAGTGCTAGCTGAAAAATACACTTTATCCAAATTTTCTTAGTTTTTACCTGATTTTTTTTCTGTTCCAGCTTTCCATCTAGGATATTACATTACATTTTGTGTTCATACCTTCTAAGCTATTCTTAAATGTGATAGTTTCTCAGACTTTTCTTGTTTGTTAATGAGAGTTTTTCTGGTTTGCTTAATGAGAGTAGTAAGGAATTTTGGTCAGGTATTTGATAAAATATCCTCCTGTAGAATTTGCTTGATGATTTCCTCATGTTTTGATTGTGGTTATTGGTTTGGGGATAAAGATTACAGAGACAAAGTGCCCTTCTCATTGTATCAAAGATCAGGCTATCAACATGACTTACCACTATTGATGTACTTATTACGTGATTTACATAGTGTATTTCAGGTTCACCCATTGTAACCCTTCATTTCCCTCTACATACTAGCCTCTTTGAAAGAAAGTCACTATGTGGTCCACACTTAAGCAGTGGTCCACACTTAAGCAGTGGTCCACACTTAAGTAGTGGTCCACACTTATGCTCCACCACTTGGAGGACAGAATATCTACATAAATAATTTGTAGTTTGTCTGCAGAGAGATTTGTCTATATCCCCTATTAATGTATCACTCAATAATTTATATCAGTATGAAATAATATTTATTTCTTATTTCTTACTTGTATTTATTTTGTTTCAGAAACTGTTCTAGCTTCGGTCATTGAGAAGTCTTTCATTTGGCTCATGTTTTCCTTTGACATATCCCTTTATTGTGGATTTTATTGTTATTAGAGTTGTTGTTATCTTGAGCATTTTCTCACTTCCTAGCACTATCAGATGCTCTAGACTCATGTTGTTTAATTCTTGCCCCAGTCTAAGAATCAGCTATTTCTCCAAGTATCTCTGGTTCCTTTTATTAGAAAAAAAAAGTATTGGAAACCAAGACAAATAAGCCAGGTGCACTCCTTGCTACCGAGGTGCAGTTGTTTTAAAGCCATCTCTAATTACAGAGCTTGAATATATAATGGGTTAATACACACACACACATATAATAACTTATATATAATATATAATGTATGTGTGCATTATATATTTGTATAAATTTAATGTATATTATATATGTGTGTATGTATATATTAATCCATGTATATGCACATATCTATAAATGTTTCTGTATACAAACATCTATATCTTTAATTAGTCAGAGTTGATTTAAAGAGAAGAAATGTGGTAATATTTTAAATTAGGATTATATATTTTTACCTGTGAGATACACAGATAAATAGAATGGAGTTGGGAAACATCAAAGTAGGAAAAAGAACACATAAAGATTGCAGTGCAGATGATAAAAATTGTCTCTCTGAAATATATTAAGATAAAAAATTAGTTGATTAAAATAGTTGAAAGAGGATAATAAAAAAATTCTCAATTTGTCTACTTTGGATAACTAGGCTGGTGGGAATCTTCAGAATATAAGGAACATACTTATTTTTTAAATTTCATTTCAATTGCTTTAGGAGTAGAAGTGGTTTTTGAATACATCAATGAATTATATAGTGCTGATGTCTAGGATTTTAGTGCACCTGTCATCTGAATAATGTGCATTGTACCCAATAGGCAGTTTTTCATCCCTCACACTCCTCCTCCTTTCTGAGTCTCCAGTATCCACTACACCACTCAGTATGCCTTAATGTACCCATAATTTAGTTCCCACTTATGAGTGAAAACATATGGTATTAGATTTTTAATTCCTGACTTACTTCACTTAGAATAATGGCCTCCAGTTTCATCCAATTTGCTGCAGTAGAATATTTGGTTCTTTTCTATGGTAATATATTTTATAATGCATGTACACCACATTTTCCTTATCCTTAAATCAGATGAAAGACACTTAGATTGATTCTATATCTTTGCAATTGTGAATTTTGTTGTGATAAACATATACATGTGGGTGTTTTGGGATATAGTGACTTTTTCCCTTTGAGGAGATACCCAGTAGTGAGATTTCTGGATAGAATGGTAGATCCATTATTATTTATTTGAGAAGTCATTATGTTGTCTTCCTTAGAAGTTTTACTAATTTACAAGCCCACCAGCAGTGTGTAAGCATTCCATTATCACCACATCCATGACAAAGTCTATTATTATTTGACTTTTTAATTATGGAAATTCTAGCAGGAGTAAAGTGGTATCTCACTATGGTTTTAATTTACATTTCCCTGATGCTTGGTGATGTCTACTTTTTTTTCATGTATTTGTTGACCTTTTTTATTTCTTCTTTTGAGAAGTATCTATTCATGTCATTTGCCTGCTTCTTGATGAGATTTTTTAGTTTTTTTCTTGCTGATTTGTTTGAGTTATTTGTAGATTCTGGATATTAGTCCTTTGTCAGATACAAAGTTTGCAGTTGTTTTTTCATTTTTGAGTTGTCTGTTTACACTGATAATTATTTCTTTTGCTGTGCAGAGGCCTTTTAGTTTAATTAGGTCTCATTTTTGTTTTCATTGCATTTCCTTTTGGGGCCTTCGCAATATATGTATTTTTTTGTAGGCCAATGTCCAGAAGAGACTTTCTTAGGTGCTCTTCTAGAATTTTCATAGATTCAGGTCTTATATTTAACTTTAATTCATCTTGAATCTTTTTATATAGTGAGAGACAGAGCTGTAGCTTTATTATTTTACATGTGGATATTTAATTTTCCTAGCATCATATATTGAATAGGATGTTCTTTTTCAAATTAACATTTTTATATGCTCTGTAATATGGTTACGCTTTGTGTCCCGTCTCAAATCTCATCTTGAATTCTAATCCTCATAATCCCCACATGTCAAGAGAGAGACTAGGTGAAAGTAATTGGATTATGGGCATGATGTCTCCCATGCTGTTATCATGATAGTGAGTGAGTTCTCATGAGATCTGATGGTTTTATAACTGTTTGGTAGTTGCTCCTGTGTTCATTCTCCTTCCTGCCACTTTGTGAAGAAGGTGACTTCCACCATAAATTTAAGTTTCCTGAGGCCTCCCCAGCCATGTGGAATTTTGAGTCAATTAAACCTCTTTTCTTTCTTAATTACCCAGGCTTATGCAGTTCTTTATAGTAATGTGAGAATCAACTAATACAGTTAGGTGGTAACGCATAGAGTGGAGTGCTCCTATAAAGATATCCAAAAATGTGGAAACAGCTTAGGAAGTGGGTAACAGGCAGAGGTTGGAACAATTTAGAGGGCACAGAAGAAAACAGGAAGAAGTAGGAAAGTCTGAAACTTCCTTGAGACTTGCTGAATGGCTTTGACCACAACGCTGATAGTGATAATGGACAATGAAGTCCAGGCTAAAATGGTCTCAGATAAAGATGACAAATTTGTTGTGAACTGGAATATAGGTGATTCTTACTATACTTTAGCAAAGAGACTGCTGGCATTTTGCCCCACCTTATAGATCTGTGAAACTTTGAACTTGAGAATGATGATTTAGAGTATCTGGTGGAAGAAATTACTAAGCAGCAAAGTGTTCAAGAGGTGCCTTGAGTGCTCTTAAAAGCATTCAGTTTTATGCATTTACAATAGTATGGTTTGGAAGTGGAGCTAATGTTTAAAAGAGAAGCAGAGCATAAAAGTTCCAAAAATAGGCAGCCTGATGCAATAAAAAAGGAAGAGTTCATATCCTTTGCAGGGATATGGATGAAGCTGAAAACCATCAATCTCAACAAACTACACAGGAACAGAAAACCAAACACCGCATGTTCTCACTCATAAGTGGGACTTGAACAAAGAGAACACATGGACACAGGGAGGGGAACATCACACACCAGGGTCTGTCAGGGGGTGGGGAGCTAAGGGAGGGATAGCATTAGGAGAAATACCTAATGTGGATGATGGGTTGATGGGTGCAGCAAACCACCATGGCATGTGTATACCTATGTAACAAACTTGCATGTTCTGCATTTGTATCCCAGAACTTAAAGTATATTATTAAAAAAAAAAAAAAAAAAAAAGGAAAACTCATATGCTGGGGAAGAATTCAAGCCTACTGAAGAAATTTGCATAAGTAATGAAGAGCCAAATGTTAATCACCAAGACAATGGAGAAAATGTCTCCAGGGCATGTCAGAGGTATTAATGGCCACCCCTCCCATCACAAGCCCAGAGGCCTAGGAGGAAAAATGATTTTGTGGGCTGGATGCAGGACCTTGCTGCTTTGTGCAGTCTCATAACTTGATGTCCTGCTTCCCAGCCATGGAAAAAACATGCCTATGTCCAGCTCAGGCCATTGCTTCAGAGGCTGCAAGCTCCAAGTCTTGGCAGCTTCCACATGGTGTTGAGGCTGTGGGTACACAGAAGTCAAGAATTGAGGTTTGGGAACCTTCACTTAGAATTCAGAGGATGTGTGGAAACACCTGGATGTTCAGGCAGAAGTTTGCTGCAGGGGTCCAGTCCTCATGGAGAACCTCTGCTAGGGCAGTGTGGAAGGAAAATGAGGGAATCCCACAGAGTCCCCACTGAGAAACTGCCTATTGGAGCTGTAAGAAGAGGGCCACTCTCCTCCAAACCCCAAAATGTTAGATCCACTGGTAGTTTGCACTGTGTGCCTGGAAAAGCTGCAGACACTCAACGCCAGCCTAGGAAAGCAGCCAGGAAGAGGGCTGTGCCCCGAAAAGCCACCAGGGTTGGAGATAACCAAAACTGTGGGAAATCTAGTTCTTGCATTAGCATGACCCAGATGTGAGACATTAAGTCAAAGGAGATAATTTCAGATTAATCTTACAGATGTAATGGCTGCCCTGCAGTGTTTTGAACTTGCATGGGACCTGTAGCATCTTTGTTTTGGCTAATTTCTTCCATTTGGAATGGAAACATTTACCCAATACCTGTACCTCCATTGTGTCTTGGAAGCAACTAACTTGATTTTGATTTTACAGGCTTCTGGGCAGAAGAGACTTGCCTTGTCTTGACGAGGCTTTGGACTTGGAATTTTGGGTTAATAATAGAATGAATCAAGATTTTGGGGGACTACTGGGAAAGCATAATTGGTTTTGAAATGTGAAAGGAACATGACATTTTGTAGGGTCCAAGGGTGAAATGATGTGGTTAGGCTTTGTGTGCTCCCCCAAACCTCATTTTGAATTGTAATCCTCATAATCCCCATAAAACCCATGTGTCAAGAGAGAGACCAGGTGGAGGTTATTGGATCATGGGGGTGATTTCCCCCATTCTCTTCTCATGATAGTGAGTTCTCATGAGAGCTGATGGATTTATAAGTATTTGGTAGTTCCTCTGCAGTCATTCTCCCTCCTGCCCCCTTGTGAAGAAAATGCCTTGCTTCCCCTTCCCCTTCTGCCATTATTGTAAGTTTCCTGAGGCCTCCCCAGCCATGTGGAACCATTAGTCTATTAAGACTTTTTTGTTTCTTAATTATCCAATCTCAAGCAAGTCTTTATAGCAGTGTGAGAATGGACTAATATACCTTGTCAAAGACTGATTGGAGATAAATATTTAGCTTTATTTCTGGATTCTGGATTCTGTTATATTGGTCTGTGTATCTACTTTTATACCAGTACTTTGCTGTTTTTGTTACTGCAGACTTGTAGAAGAATTTGAAGTCAGGTAATGTGATGCCTCCTGATTTATACCTTTTGCTTAGGATTGTACTGGCTATAATGCTCTTTTTTGATTCTCTATAAATTTTAGAATTGAATTTTCTAAATATGTTAAAATAATGTTGGGATTTTGATAGGAATTATAATGAATGTGTAGATTGCTTTGGGCATTATGGTTATTTTTTCAATATTAGTTATTTCAATTCATGAACATGGGATGCATTTTCACATTTGTTTCATCTATGGTTCCTTCAGCGTGTTCTGTGGTTCTCCTTTTAGAGATCTTTTGCCTCCTTGGCTAAGTATATTCCTGGGCATTTTTTTTTTTTTAACTATTGTAAAGGGATTTAATTCTTGATTTAATTCTCAGCTTAGTCATTGTTAGTGTATAATAGTGCTACTTGTTTTTGTACAGTGATGTTGTAACCCAAGACTTCACTGAATTTATATGTCAGATCCAAGAGTATTTTGGAGGACTCTTTAGGGTTTTCTGAGTGTAAGATCATATCATCAGCGAATAAAAATAGTTTGACTACTTCTTTGCTAATCTAGGTGTTTTTTTTTTTTTAACCTGCCTAATTGCTCTGGCTAGGACTTCCAGTACTATGTTAAACAGAAGTAGTGAAAATGTGCATTATTTTCTTGTTCCAGTTCTTAGGGAAAATGCTTTCAACATTTCCCCATTTAGTAAGATGTTGGCTGTGGGTTTTTTCGTATGCTTCTTTTATTATTTTCAGGTATGTTCCTTCTATGCCTAGTTTATTGAGGGTTTTTGTCTTATAGAGGTGCTGGATTTTATGAAATGTTTTTTCTACATCTATGGAGATGATCATATGTTTTTTGTTTTTAATTCTGTTTATGTGATTAATCACATTATATTGAGTATTGCAAAATCCCTACCTCCCTGGAATGAAACCCAGTTGATCATGGTGAATTATGTTTTTAATATGCTGTTGGATTCAGTTTGCCAGTATTTTGTTGAACATATTTACATCTCTATTCATCAGGAATATTGCTCTGTAGTTTTATCTCTTTTTTTGTTGTTATGTCATTTCTTGGCTTTGGTATGAGGATAATACTGGCTTCATGGAATAAATCAGGGAACATTCCCTCCTTTTGAATCTTTTGGAATAGTTTCAGTAGAATTGTTATCAGTTATTTAAATGTCTGATGGAATTCAGATTTACATCAATCTGGCCCTGGGCTTTTTTGTTGCCCTTGGCAGTTTTTTTCATATTGATTTAATCTCACTGCTTGTTATTGATCTGTTCTGTATTTCTATTTCTTCCTGATTCAAGCTAGAGGTGGGGTTTGTATATTTCCAAAAATTTATCCCTTTTCTCTAGATTTTCTAGTTTGTGTGACTAGGGGTGTTCATAGTAGTCTCTATCTTTTGCATTTCTGTGTTGTTAGTTGTGATGCCTCCATTTTCATTTCTAATTGAACTTTTTTGAATCAATCTTTTCTTGGTTAATCTAGCTAGTGGTTTTTCAATTTTATCTTTTCAGAGCACTAGCTTTTCATTTTATTAATTTTTTGTTTGGGGTGTGTGTGTGTGTTTGTATTTTTTCAGTTTCATTTGGTTTTGCTCTGATTTTGTTATTTCTATTTTTTTTTCTGCTAACTTTGGGTTTGATTGGTTCTTTTCTCTCTAGTTCTTTGAGGCATGACAATGGGTTGCCAGTTTGTAACTTTTTAGACTTTTGCTGTTGGCATTTAGCACTATAAGCTTTCCTCTTAGCACTGCTTTTACTGTATACCACAGGTTTTGATAACTCTTATCACTGTTATCATTCATTTTGAATGTTTTGAAAACATTTTCATTTTAATTTTATTGTTAACCAAAAAATCATTCAGGAGCAGATTGTTTTATTTTCATATGTTTGTATAGTTTTGAGTGTTCTTTTCGAATTGATTTCTAGTTTCATTCTGCTATGGTCTGAGAAGATACTTAATATGATTTTGATTTAAAAAAGTTTATTGACACTTTTTTTGTGGCCTATCATATGGTCGATCTTGCGTCATGTTCCTTGTGCTGAGAAGAGTGTATATTCTGCAGTTCTTGGGTAGAATATTATGTAAATATTTGTTAGGTCCATTTGTTCTAGAGTGCAGTTTAAATGTGGTGTTTCTTTGTTGACTTTCTCCCTTGATGATCTGTCTAGTGCTATAAGTGAAGTGTTTATGTTCTCCACTTTATTGTGTTGCTGTCTAATTCTTTCTTTAAGTCTAGTAGGGCTTTATTCACTCTTTCTGGAGTTAGGTGCATACATTTTTAGAATTGTTATATCTTCTTGTTGAGTTGAACTGGTTATCATTATATAATGACCTTCTTCATCTTTTCTTTTAACTGTTGTTGCTTTAAAATCTGTTTTTATCTAATATAAGAATAGCTACTCATATTTTCTTTTGGTTTCCATTTGCATAAAATATCTTATTCCACTCCTTTACCTTGCGTCTATAAGAATACCCATGTGTTAAGTGGGTTTCCTGAAGACAGTAAATATTTGGTTTGTAATTTTTAAATACATTTTGCCAATCTGTATCTTTTAAGTAGAGTATTTAGACCATTTACATTCAACCTTAATATTAAGATATGAGGTACTGTTACAGTCATCATGTTCTTACCTAATGACTTTGTATTATTCATTGTGTTATTGTTTTATTAGCCCTGCGAATTTTGTTCTTTCAAGACTTTCTCTTCTGGTGCATATCAACCTTTTGTTTCAAGACTTAGAACTCCTTTTAGCATTTCTTGTAAGTCTGGTGTAATGTTGATAAATTCCCTCAGCATTTGCTTGTTTAAAAGAGACTTTATTTTTTCTTTATTTATGAAACTTAGTTTTTTTTGGATACACAATTCTTGGCTGGGAGTTATTCTGCTTAAGGAGACTAGAAATAGGACCCCAATCCCTTCTGGCTTTTAAGATTCTTGCTGAGAAGTCTGCTGTTATTCTGATAGGTTTTCTCATATAGGTTACTTGATGCGTTTGTCTCACTGCACTTATAATTCTTTCCTTTATATTGACTTTAGATAGCCCAAAGACTATATGCCTTGGTGAGGTCCTTTGTGCAAATGACTCTCACAGGAGTTCTTTGAGCTTCTTGTATTTGGATGTCTAAGTCTTTAACAAGGCCAGGAAAATTTTTTCTCAATTAGTCCTTCAAATAGGTTTTTGAGACTTTCTGCTCTCTTTCAACCTCAGGAAGATTCATAGGTTTGGTTTTTTTAAATAATCCCATATTTCTTACAGACATTGATCTTTATTTTTAATTTAATTTAATTTTTTATTTTTGTTTGATTGGCTTAATTGAAAGTCTTGTCTTTGGGCTCTGAAATGTTTTCTTCTATGTGGTGTAGCCTATCATTAAAACTTTCCACTGAATTTTATAGTTCCCTAAATGTGTCTTTTATTTCCAGAAGTTCTGATTGAGTAATACAAGTTTTTAAAAGGGAGATTTATTTGTCTATTTTTTTCTTATATAAAGATTAAATGTCTGCTTGTCACTGAGATGACTAAGTCCAGAAGAGTATAGATATATTCAGGAGTGTAAGTAGAGCTGGAGATCTGGTTTAGATTCTCTTGGTAATCTCTTACACCATATGAACAAGGACAAAACACTTGGAAATGAAAAATTTTAAAAAATAGCATAAGGACTAAATTATTTTTATTGTTTTTCATCTTTTAATGTTGTTTAATAGAGAACTGTATAAACACAGAAAAGGGCAATATTATCAGGCTTAATTTATTTATTCAAAGTTTTTTCCCCCAGTTTTATTAAAGTATACTTGACAAATAAAAGTTGTATCTATTTAGGATGTACAACATGATGTTTTGATATACGCATACAATGTAAAATGATTACCTTCAATTAAGCTAATTCACACATCCATCATCTCCCATAGTTACACTATGTTTGTGTCTATGTGTGTGTGGTGAGAGTACTTAAACTTAACTCTATACGAATTTCAAGTATGTAATAAGAATATAATTAGCTATAGTTACCGTGCTGTAATTAGATTTCTAGAAATTATTTAGCTTGAATAACTGAACTTTGAAAGCCTTAGGCCAACCATACCTACTTTTTCTTTTTTTTTTTTTTGAGACAGAGTCTCGCTCCGTAGCCCAGGCTGGAGTGCAGTGGCGCGATCTCGGCTCACTGCAAGCTCTGCCTCCCGGGTTCCTGCCATTCTCCCGCCTCAGCCACCGGAGTAGTAGCTGGGACTACAGGCGCCCGCCACCACGCCTGGCTAATTTTTTGTATTTTTTTAGTACAGACAGGGTTTCACCGTGTTAGCCAGGATGGTCTTGATCTCCTGACCTGGTGATCAGCCCGCCTCAGCCTCCCAAAGTGCTGGGATTACAGACGTGAGCCACCGCGCCCGGCCACCTACTTTTTCTACCCCAACCCTCAGCAACGACCATTCTATTCTGCTTCTGTGAGTTTAACATTTTTAGGTACCACATATGAGTAAAATCATGCAGTATTTGTCTTTTGGTTTCTGACTTACTACATATAGCATAGTGGCCTCTAGGCTCATTCTTGTTGTCACATATGATAGGGTTTTTTCTTTTTTAAGGCTGTATAATACTGTATTGTCTGTGTGTGTTTGCGTGTGTGTGTGTGTGTGTGTGTGTGTACCACATTTCTTTATCCTTTCATTTGTTGACCAATATGTAGGTCGTTTCCATATCTCGGTTATTGTGAATAATGCAGCAGTGAACATGACATCCAGACATCTCTTTCAGACCTGAATTTTATTTCCTTTGAATATATATCCAGAACTGTGACTGTTGGATCATATGGAAATTTTATTTTTAATTTTTTTGCAGAGCCTCCATAATGTTTTCTATCATGGCTGTACCAATTTACATTTCCATCAACAATATATAAGGATTATCTTTTCTCTACATTTATGACAGTTGTTGTCTTTCATCTTTTCTGATAATAGCCTTTTAGTTAAATTTTTAAGAATAAGAAAAACGGAACTCAGAGATCAACTCAGATTTCTTCAGTCCGTAAAACTAAGATGAACTTTTGGGTTCATTACTACTTGTTGTCATGTAGATGTTCAATTCCAACTCAAGAGTTCTGTATTCCATGTGATTAAATAATTCTATGTGATTCCACAATTAAAATGTGGCTGCAACTGCATTCAGTTCAGTCCCAGTCTTACATGGTAGCTTAATGTGTGAAATACTGCTATTTTTATATTTACGTCTAAATTTTATCATCTCTTATTAGACTTGACTATACAAATTTTGGGATGACATTAGAAGAAAGTTTATTTCAGCATGAGAAATAACTTTGAATAATATGTCAGTAACTCTACCCTTAAAATAAATATTTTAAAATTATTTTGAATAACTCTTAAATTTAATCATGGCATGTGCCCCCGGATGGATTTAATTAAACCCATATTCAAAATTCTTGCCTCTCTCATGTGGTAAATATAATTCATTGTGTCTGAAGGAGGCTATCTTTATCTTTGTTGAGCTATAAATCTACCCTTGGTGTATTTGGCACTATTTTCATCTTTTCAGAAGTAACATCTCTTCATGACATCTCTAAATGCTTTTTCAGATGTTTCCAAAATGTAACAAATGATTAAAATAAGAACACGATAATAGCATAAATCCTCACTTGTCTGCTTGCCTTGACTATGTTGGATCAATGATAGTTGAAATAGAGACAAGTTAAAAGGTCTCCAGGACTTTTTTTGGATGGAAGGCTTGCGCTTCATTCTTTATCTCTCTTGTTTCTGAAAACTAACTCCAAATGGCCCAGCCACTCTGCACTATTCCACCATAAAACAAAAGTCCTAGAGAAAAGTGAAAAGGCAAACATTGATAGAAGTTGTATGAAAATTAAAAGAAATTGTTGAAGAATGTTGGAGAAATGTGAAAGAATCATTCCTCTTAAGCCATTTCTTTCTATGGAAAGAGGTTGGGTTTGTTAATCTGACAGCTTCCTAGTGACTCCACAGAAGCTCAACTCTTTGCAGGTAGGATAGCACAACGAAGGAGAGGCCAGATTGTGGATCCGGACACTTCAGTTTGAATCCCCTGTTCTAACATTTATTGGCTTGTGATATTTGACAAGTTATAATTTCTTTATACTTCATTTTCACAGTCTATAGAATGAGATTATAATAGTACCTACATCATAGGTGTTGCTTTGACATATAGTAAGTCAATGTAATTACAGCACTTAAAGCAGAACCTGATGTACAATCCCATTCTATAAGTGTTAGTGATCAGTACTTCTGATGGCTACTGTGTAACACAAAGCTAATTCTCAATTTGAGCTATCCAAAAATATATTATGTAGTCAGGTACTTGTATATGTCGTCAATTCCTTCTTTTATTGGTAAAGGTTGAATCTATATTATTGAGTAACTGTTATTAGTTCTACTTGATATTTTCTAATATAAAAATATTCTATATAGTTTAGGTGACTCTAACTAAAAGAAACACTCTAGAAAACTAAAAAAAACAATAATTGATAACTATAAACAAAGTAGTATATATAATTGCTAAGAATAAATAGGCAATAAATATTTAAATGCAGTAATATTGGACTGACATAGGTTAAAGTATGTAATGTTTGCTAAGCATTTATTAATTTTCTGATTTTTTCTGCAAACCAATATATCTCAATATAATTTTTAAAAACCCACTAGAATTTAACTTTTATCTACAGGAAATACGACTTCTGGTGGTCTAATGATTTCTGTTTCTTAATTTAAAACTTGCAAATGTTTGTTTTTATCAAAAAGATACTTTTAAAGGAAAAATTCATGAACATATAAACATATGTTTTATTGAATATTAAGGTTAAAATACCAAGCTGTCACTAATAACTAGCTCTCATACAGATAAGATGCTTTCAAGCCTTGATATCTTTTAAAAATATATTCAGTTTTGTGCCTCATTAAGAACCATATTTTTCAAGATAGATTAACTTTTCTCAAGTACAAAATGTCTCACCATTTGAGAGAAAATGAGTGCTTTTACATTGTACTGATTATTGTCCTAAAATTCCTGACATCATTGAAAACTATTTTTGTGAAATAAGTTCTTGCCTAAAAGTTCAGTATATCAGTTTACTACTAGCAATATAACTTACACACTGTTTTTTCCCTTAACCTGCATATGGAGCTTTATAAACAAATAATATAGTTTAAAGGATATGTTTTATTAGTATAATAAGAGGTACCTTGAATTTTTAAGGTACATCATCCATGCTTTGAATTACATAAAATTCAATAGTTTTTCTCTGGTTTATGGTAGGTTTATATAAAATGATTATATAAATTACATATTTGTATGGTATATTTTTACAAAGAATATTTCTTGGGTAGATATAATATAAACCATAAGAACAAAGAGGCTGTATTAATTTATGTTACCAAGTGTCCTTTCATTTAAATATTGATTTTATAAAAGAGTTAAACAACTATAATGTATACTACACTATCATTATTAAAAGAAAGCTACGTGTTAGGCCACCAAGAAGAGTTAATACTTCAAAATTTTTAATTAGATTTTGGAAAAAATATCTAATACGTTTTTGCAGTATGTGTCCATGCAAGTTTATATATTTTTAAACTATTAGTAAAATAATGTTTTATAGCAATAGAGTATCTCTTATCTGAAGTGCTTGGAACCAGAAATGTTTCAAATGTAGAATTGTTTGAATTTTTGAATACTTGCAATTACCAATGAGATATCTTAGGATGACTCCCAAGTCTAAACATGAAACTTACTTATGTTTTATATATACTTTGTACACGTAGCCTAAAGATAATTTTATACAATATTTTAAATAATTTTGTAAATAAAGCAAACTTTTGACTGCATTTTGACTGCAACTCCTCACATGAGGTCAGATATGAAATTTTCTGCCTATGGTGTTTGCGTTTTATAGCACTTTGAGTTTCCGAATTTAGATTAGTAATGCTCAACCTGTATATACTTTAAGAAGTAAATAGTAGTCAGTGTTTTGGTGACAGGAAGTTGTCTCTGCTAAGTGATGGGTAAAATATATTCTTGATGCAAATTTTAGTCAAGATTATTTTCAGGGTAAAATAGAAAGCTAGCTCACTTGAAAAAAAATCTCTAGAATTTTCAACATCTGATTTCAAAGTGCTACAAAAAGCAGAGGATTCCTCTCAACAATGCTTGTCTAAAAGAAATATTTTCACTTTGGATAAAAGTAAGATGGCAGGAAAGCATCAGGTGTCTGTCTCCTCACCTCCAACATAAAGAGTAACTTAAAACAGAGGTTTGTTGAGAGTAAAGCCCTTGGTGTGTTATCCATTTCACCTAGCTCAAATCAAATAATTCAAAGCATAGCTTTCAAGAATAGCTAGCTAGGAAATATCCTTATCCAAAAATGTTAACAACTCTTCTAGGTAGCAGATGCCTAGATATATTTAAAAAGTTGTTTGGAAAAGTCATAACTTTTTTGAAATATTGAAGCATTTTTGTAAGAACTGTTGACATCTAAGCTACAAATGCCTATTTTTGTCTTGTAACTATTTTTGTCTTTGTATATATAAGCGAAAATAAAAAGTACTAAAATTGGCATTTTCGTTGTAAATAAAAAAGATTTTTCTCCTTTTCTAAAGTTTTTTTTTTCTTTTCTACTAAGGTTTCTTTGTCTGAATGGTATCATATATCCCATTTTGCAAAGAAGCCTAATTGAACTTTCTTGTCTCTCAAAACTCCAAATAATGGAATAGCATTTGTAGCAAAACCTGCATAAAACCCTGTAGCCATTTAAGTAAATTCATGCCGTGATACATGTGGAAGTATATGTATTCTTTGCCTGTGGAAATATGATTTTTTTTTTTAGAAAGTACAATTCTGGACTTTGTTGTTGTCTGTCAAAATACTGAGAATATATTAAGGAATGCATCCTCGATTCTTTGCAGTACATTCATGTAGGGCTTTACTGCATTTTAGTAATTTTTTTTCCACAAGTTATCTCAGTCCTAACCCTGATCTGTCTTTTCAGTTGTTGCTTTGTATTCTAGATAATAATGAAACTAAAATATCCAGATATCCAAAGCTATATTATGAACTAAGTGAGAAGTAAGGATATTTCCTTTTTCTCTGAGGCCTAAAAATAATGAAAGCTTAAATACTACCACAAACCTGAACTGCGATAATCAAGGCTTTTATGCTTGAATGTACATGTTTTGATGTGAATTATAAATATAGTTAAATGTATGAAACCTGACAGAAAATGATATTCCCAATAACTACAGAGAGGAGTATTCCCTAATTAGAAAACTGTCAGAGTAGAAGATACCAAACTATACTCACTAGCAAACTCCTAAATCTAAATATTCATAACAAAAGTTGGATCTTAAAAGCATTTTTGTTATTTAAATTTTAACATTAAAAAAATTGCGGCACAATATTATTAGCAACATCATTACTAACAGTTCTTATTCTGCATGAGGGAATACAGAGAGGGAAATCAGAAGTTAACTATTCTTAAGGCTAACCTCATGCAGTAACTCTTGTGCCTGAAGATAATATACCCTGGGCTTTAATATATCTACAAAAGGGCTTCAACGAGTTAATTTCTCACCACCGTAAATAGAAAATGAAACAAGGTATCAGCACATCAAAGTGACTACATGTGTGTTTTAAAAAATGTTTTGGATTTGTCTTCCAAGACTGTGAACTCAGGGTCCAAAGTACAGCTGAAACAATTCACTGTGTATATTTAAGTATGGCATCAATATAACTCCTAATTTGTTGGATTTGTATCTTAAGGGAATTAACATTATTTTTAATGTTGAATGAGATGGTCATTGGAGTTTCAGTTCACAGTCAAAAGGAGATTTAGAAAATTGCATGGAGATTAGAAACATACACTTTGGAAAAAGTGCTAGCTAGAACCAATTATTCTAGACAAAAAGCAAAGCAGTATATACTTAACTATAATAAGGACATTCAATGTAAATTTGCAGACTGCAATTCTCTGTGAATATACAAGCTATTTTTATTAATTAATAAGCTTTTTCTCAAATTGACCGTCTATATAAATTCCATTGAAGACTAAGATTTTGCTATTTAAAAAATTAAATTTTGGAGCCACAGGCCATAGAACAGACACTAAAGAAAGGTATACAGACAATAATATTATACATGTCAAAAATGGCTTTGACTGATATATAAAGTAGGGTTTTGTAGGCAAAGAATAAATGGAAAAAAGTTGCTAGGTCAAAGTTGCAAATGATAAATGTCACCATCCCTGGTCTTGTGGTGGACTGTCTAATTGCATCTGAAAGCAGAATTAAAATGATAGGCATTTTTGTTATTTGTATTTTGAATGCAGCATTATTCTAAGTAACAACTTAGAAGATAATTATACTATTAAAACTTTGAGTTTTAGGTTCAGATGTTTTACACACAGCCCTACTGCTAACACGGGTTATATCAACAACTGAAGCAGATGATTTGGGAAGCAAATTAGGACCAAACTTAATGAGAGAGTTTAAGATCCAAAATAATTGAAGAGGCAAGTCACCTAGATGTTCACTGAAAATTCACATCTGTTTATAATTTAATTCTGAAAAAAATCCTCTGACAACAAGACTATATTTCTGAGTATGAACCAAAATTAAAAATGCAAACTTGAAGAACCAGCGGTGATGCTCACATGATTCCGAATCCCAAGTCCAATTTCCTGGCATGTGCATCCTAAATTATGCAGATAACTAGGTTCCTTTCATAGCGTTAATTTGCTTTTGGCCGGTGGTCACATTTTTGTTGGTAAGTAGAGATGTTTTTTCTGTCTTCCTTTCAGTTGTATTTGACATGAGTGACCTTGCTGTCCTCTACCAATCCACCCCTGACAATTTACTCTTGTTTTCATTTTCTCTAACACTTCTTCCTGTTTTACTCTCTGCCTTTTGCTTGCTTTTCTTTTTCTCATTTGCAGACTCATTGTCCTTTCTTTGTCCACAGTACATTCAAAGTTCTCAAAGTAGGAAATTCAGAATGATATCCCTGGGTAATGTCATTTACTAAGAACTTAGATAATCCCATTCTTGGTAATTCCATTTTCATCCAAGACTTTCCTAACTGCCTGTTTATAGATCATAAACTGAATATGTTGAGCATCAGATATTTATTTCCAACTGTTTTTTACTCAACACATTATCCATCATGCCTTCATGCCTTAAGATTTGAAATGTTAAACTTCTTTCCCTGATGTGAATCTCTTCTTACAGTCCACATTTAAATTAATGAAGCTACTGTCTATACAGTTTCAAATGCAATGATGTAGGAATCATTCATGACACCTCCTTCTCTCTCCAGCCCCATATTCACATATTTAATCCAATACCAATTATTTTCTTTTTATTTTAAATTATTCCCAATCTGTTAGCTTTTCTCAAGTTCTTCCAATATGCTCATTTGTAGCTATCATGCCATAACTAGAAAATTTTGGAGATTCCCCACACAGGCCTTCTTTCAATTCTTTGTGCTCACCATGTACTCTCTCAACAGAGGACCTTTCATAAGAAATTCCTTGTATCCATAATCTTCTTTCTTTTCCTCTTTGACAAGGTAACTCGTTTTTATTCTACAGGTCTCAGCTCAGTTACAAAATACGCTTTCTCTTTAAGTGATTTTTCCTATTAAAAGTTGAAACTCTTTTTTTTTTTTTTTTTTTTTTTTTTTTTGAGGGAGTATCGCTCTGTTACCAGGCTGGAGTGCAGTGGCTCAATCTCAGCTCACTCCGCCTCCCGGGTTCAAGCGATTCCCATGCCTCAGATTACCGAATAGTTGGGACTACAGGCGCGTGCCTCTACCCCAGCTAATTTTTGTATTTTTATTACAGACCCAGTTTCACCCTGTTGGCCAGGATGGTCTCAATCTCTTGACCTCGTGACCTGCCCGCCTCAGCCTCCCAAAGGGCTAGGATTACAGGCATGAGCCACCGCGCCCCGCCAAAAGGTTAGACTTTTTGGTACTATTGTTTGATTAATAGATATCTCTTCCACTCAAAATTAAAATGTTTTCCTTCATGACCAAATTTAGAAAAAATATAAAATATGTTGTTAAAATCCTAACATTCAAGCAGCTCAATGAATTTCAAGCATGAATCCTTTAACTACATATGTTCATTAATTTATTAATTCATCCAACAGACGTATATTAACCTCCTGTCATGTCAGAGGAATTTTTCTAGGCAATTAGGGATACATCAGTGAATGTAATAAGGAAAATATTCTGGCTTACATTTTAGTGAAAGCAGAGAGATAAAATAAATAACTATGTATGTATGTATACATACACAGAAATTATATAATTTGTGGAGGAAAAAGGAGTTAAGAAAGAGAGTGTTGGTGTGAGCAATTTGAATAGCAGAATCAGGAAATCTTTTCTGTGAAGGCGATGTTTGGGCTAAGGCTGAAGTGTTAAGCTGAGCGATGTGAACATCTGAGAAAAGTGCCGTCTAGGCAAAAAGAATGGCAAATACAAAGGCAAATACAAAACAGGTCATGGGTGATTTTAGAGACTGCTGTTTCTGTTGACTTTTAATTTCCAGGTAGCTAGTTTCCTTGTGATGTGATTTTCATTGATTGCAGTTTTTTTTTTGTTGTGGTGAAAAACGTATTGTTATTTCTATGTGTTTGAAATCATCTTGCTTTACTTTTTTCCTACTATGTCTACTTTTATACATTTTCCATGAACATTTGAAATTGTAATTAATTCTATTCCATGGTATTTTAAATAATATATGTGGTTTTGTAATCATCACGTTATATGCTTTGTAGTTGGTTTTAAGTAATAGAAATATTAAGCAGTCATTACCTTATGATTTTCTAAATAAAGTATACTGAATAGTCAATAACATAGTATGATCACAATCATGTTTCTACTATCATTCAGATTTTGCCTTTAGTTGAAAATTCTAATCACCTTCATTCCCTACAATTACTATATAAATAAATGAATATATGTATGTATGTCTGTATATATATATACATAAATTATAAAAATATTCTAGCTTACATTTTAGTGAAAACAAATAGATAATAAAATGAATAAATATATATGTATCTATATAAAACATAAATTATACAATTTATAAAGAAAATAAAAGAGGTAAGAAAGATACTGCCGGGGTTAGCAGTTAGAATAGGAGGATCAATTTGAATAGAAGTCCTTCCAGATAAGGTGATATATACTGTATAAATAAATTTCTATAATATAAATACTATTTATAAATAAACAACAAAATATACTATAAATAAACAAATTACTAGACTACAAACACTATATACTATAAATACACTATATTCTATACTATTAATACTATAGTATAATACTATAGTATAGTAAGAAAAAGTGACTAAAGGTATACATAATATATAATTATGCATATATTATATATATTACATATATGACATATTTTTAAATGTCCCAAGAAATTAAGTATTATAAGAAGTTTTTACATTTGCTCAATATATCTCTATATATCCCTCCTAAAATCTTGTTTTCTTTCATCTTAGACTAGTATATCCTTAAGTACTTCTGGGAATTTTTGCTTGTTTAATTTTGTTCAAGAAATGTTCTCTGTCCCCTAAAGATTTTTCCCGTGTTTGAAAAATATGTGCATGTCAAATTTTTATTTAATAAAAAAATGGCTGGGTATAAAAACAGGTAGTTTGTGGAATTTGTTTACTGTTCTTCGAGAACTAAGTACTACCATTGAGAAGTTATGTTTTCAGTCATATTTTTGAATGCTTGTCAGAGGTTTTATTATTCTCATTTTGCCTAGATAGCCATGACTTTTTTCTTAAATCTTAAAACCAGAAACTTTAAAATATTTTTTTATATACTGTATTGGTTTATATAAAGGTATTTTATTTTATTTAAATATTTGTCAGTATCACTTGGTGTTCAAAGTTTTCTTCCAATAGTTGGCATAATTCTGTATGCACTGTCCATGTTTTTATTTTTATGGTAACTTTTATTATTTATGAAAGTATTGTTTAGAGTAATCTAACTGATATAACAAAAGGAACTTCAAATGGCTAAAAGCAGCACAAATCTATTTCTTACTCTTGCTTGTTCTGGAGAGCAGTTCATCAGGTGATCCTCTTTCATATAATAATTAAGGGATTCTAGAAGACAGAGTCTCTATAATTTTAAACAAAGCATTCTCTGAGATTGTCTTGAAGGTTGATTTCATTCCAGGCACCCAAAAGATAAGAAAATAAAAAAGAATAATGAACTTGGAATTTTGTTATGAACCATGCCTAGAAGTACACGCATCGCTTCTCCTCATGCACTTACTTTTCATTGGTGAGAAGTCCATGCCTAATTGCAAAAGAGAAAACCTACAAATCCATGCCTAATAGAAAAGGATTTGAGAAGCACAGAACTTGGTAGCTAATTTTTTGTAACGATTATGAATTGTTGCCTGAGGAAGTATAATTTATTGGTGGACTATCTCTGCCAACAAACCTAAGTCCAGAGCTATGTCTGATCATCATTCCTCACAGGATTGGACTAGTTCTTTATTAGCGTCATGATGGTTGACAATAGATTTGAGAGGAAAATGATAATAAGTCGGGGAAAGCAAGTATCTTAAATTAGTTGTTTTGTGGCTCTAAATCTGTTTTTTTTTTCTTTTTTTTGGAGACGGGAGTCTCGCTCAGTCGCCCAGGCTGGAGTGCAGTGGCGCAATCTCAGCTCACTGCAAGCTCCGCCTACCAGGTTCACGCCATACTCCTGCCTCAGCCTCCCAAGTAGCTGGGACTACAGGCGCCCGCCACCTCGCCCGGCTAATTGTTTGTATTTTTAGTAGAGACGGGGTTTTACCGTGTTAGTCAAGATGGTCTCGATCTCCTGACCTCGTGATCCGCCCGACTCGGCCTCCCAAAATGCTGGCATTACAGGCGTTAGCTACCGCGCCCGGCTGGCTTTAAATCTTTTACCAAATTTTCCTAGTAATACATTTTCTCAGAGATAACTGATCTCTGTGTTCTCTAACCTTCTACCAAGAAGGACCATGTAATTTGCAGGGCATATAAAGCACTGTGTTAGATAGACATTTGTGAAGGTACTCAGAAAGCTGTTCAGGTCTCTTAAGCTAATTATAAATTACACCTGCTGTATATATTTCTACCTGTCACTTTCATCCCACCCTCTTACATTGACACTCTGTTTCTGATCTCATCTTCAGTCACTACTAGCACATTGCAGCATGAAACAGAGTTAAGGGAGGGTATCATATTTTTTCTGACTGGATAAACTTGTTTTCCAAGTAAGATATTGCTGCGAAGGCCATAGAGTGATATGAAATATATTTTGGGAAAATTTAAATGTGTAAGAACTGTGTAAACATTTTTGCACCTCTAGTCTTCTCATACGTAGATTTACATTTTAGTTTTAAAGAGTTTTTTTTTTGAGTTTGGGGTCTATAAAATGATTCCAAAGTTTCCAAATAGCTTAAAACCTGATAGTAACTATAAAACATTTTCATACTGTAGTACACATACAAGCTTCTCAGTGGCAAATGAAAGAGGACTTTTTTCTCTTTTTACACTAGAGTGACCTGGAAAGGTTTCGTGTGTGTGTGTGTGTGTGTGGGGTGGGGGGGGATGGGGGTTTTCTGAATATAAAACTCAAACTCTGGTTACAGTTTGATAGATGAAAATAGGTAAAGGACATTCTAAACAGAGGAAATATGAAGTACAAAAATTTAAATCTATGAATCCATAATGTACATTTAGACATAAGCAACCTACATATATTTGCAATATATATTTAACAATATATGTAAATATATAGGTATATTCAGCAACATGTAAATATTCTAGATTTCTTCAATATATGTAGGTTATCTCTAAATTCTATTATATATATAAATATAAAGTAGAATAGATATATGGGTATAAATATAGAGTTTAATATAGATTTAAATGTAGATAGCTAGATAAATTACCAAAAAAATGGAAGTAGAAAGTCAAAACTGAATACATTGAGTATATACAGCCAAGATGAATCTCTATCCAGGTTGAAACTAAGAAAAATAAAACTTATTGCTTTTTAAGGGTGATTTACCAGGGAGGAGTTTGGTGGCAAAGAAAGTCTTGCTTTTCTGACAATATGAAATAAAAGAAAAAGATTACTATGAGCAAGAAGAAAGAATAAAAATGTAGCCTTCACCAAATGAATCCATGCTTTAGTGAAGGAAATAAGCATTTGAATTATAATTGTTGCCCAATAAATCTGTAAAATATCAATGCTGTGCAAACAGCAGAATGGACATGGAATTTAAGAGTCAAATAAAATGATTAGTTTTAAATTCTACTTTGCTAATTACTAGTTGTACACACATGGGCAAATTGCTTTGAGCTTTGAACTCAGTTTTCTCACTGGCTGTATTAGTTTCCTCTGGCTGCCATAACAAATTACCACAACTTAGTTAGATTAAACAACAACAAATTATTATCTCACAGTTCTGGAGGCCACAAGTCCTGATTAGGGCATCAGTAGGCCTGTGAGCTCATCAAAGGATCAATAGGAGTAAACTTTCTTTCCTCTTCCGGCTTCTGCTGACTCCAGGTGTTTCTTCCCTTGTGACAGCATAACTCCAGTCTGTGCCTCCATCTTCACATGGCTTTGTCTTCTTTATCAGTGTTTTTTTCTCTTCTATCTCTTACAGGGACACTTCCTATTGGATTTCCGGCCCACTCAATAATTCAGTATAATATCATCTCAAAAACCTTTAACTTGATTATTTCTGCAAAGACACTTGATATAGTTTGCATATTTGTTCCCTCCAAATCTTATATTGAAATAAATCCCCAATTTCAAAGGTGGAATATAGTGGGGACATTTGGGTCATAGGGACAGATGCTTCATGAATGGCTTTGTGCCCTCCCCATCGTGTAATGAATAAGTTCGTGCTTTACTAGTTCGTGGGAGGTCTGGTTGTTAAAGAGCCTGGGACCTCTCTTCTCCCACTTTCGTGCTCCCTCTCTTTATCTGTAACACACTGCCTCCCCTTGACTTCTGCCATGAGTAAAAGCTTTCTGAGGCCTTCGCCAGAAGCCTAACAGATGCCTAGTTCTTGTACAGCCTCCAGAACTGTGAGTCAACTAGACCTCTTTTCTTTATAAATTACCCAGTCCCAGATATTCCTTTATAGCAATGCAAAATAGACTGATACAACTTGTTTTTCAAATTAGGTCACATTCATGGTTTTCAGAGATTAGGACATGTATTTGAGTGGGCCTCCATTTAATTCACTATGCTGACACATACTGGGAAGTATAATACTTTCATAGAGAACATGGTATTATTCTTCCTAGCATTTCTGTATATATTTATAACTCTTTTATTTTGAGAGTTTGTATTTTCTGTAGGCCTTTTATCAAAGATTCTGTTGGTTAAACTGAAAATAGGGTAAATATCAGTCTATTCAGAATCCCCCGAGAATGCTCTTGGGAAATTGACACTCACTTTTTAAGATAATGGCTAGCCTTAAGGACAATAAAATATCAAAGTTGCTAGTGATTCATTTTTTACCCCTTGATTAAAGCGTGACTCAAAATAAGACCAACAAAGGAGTAAGATACACCTGAGAAATGTTTAAAGCAGCCCATATTCCTGAGACCATCATCATACTCCTGTAACCACTTCTGACTCTACCTATTCTTCTTTTGAACTTGTTGGGTAAGTGAGCAAATATATCCCCTCCTCAGATTATGTTGCTAGAACTTTAATTTCTACCAGACAGTATATAAAAATTGTTGTAAATGTTACGGTAGTATGTGTAAAGAACATAGCATGGTGCTTAAATATTATTTTTCTTTCCATTATAAAGTATGTTTATTTACAAATCACACATGTTGGTTTTCTGCATTTTACCCCAGAGTTGAAAGAAAAGGGAATTTCTGTAAGAAATGGTACCAATCTAATTAAATGATTCATTCCTTGACCTACTGTTTCGAAGAGGATTTTTCTGCCACTTTTGTTTAGTGTAGTTAATCCAGAAACTTTACTTGACCACAAAAAGCAATTGTTTTTGAGAGTGTCAAACGCAGACCTGATGAACAGGGAACTTTTTTCAGTTGAAGCGGTAATAGGAGCCTATCAGCATATCTATTGTTCCTTTCATTAATCACCTGCCAATAAAAGCCACTGACATGCCTTACAGGATCCCTTAGTGCACTTGGCACAAGATACGTGGTGCTTGATCAGTCTATAGTACTTGATGTATAGATGTATGCCTTTATGGTACCCAGGAAAATATATCTTAATAGCAGGAAAATTTGTTGCTAAAACAAACACTTTTGAAACACCATTGTCATGCTGGGATATATGAAACACTCTTTGTCTTTCTTAATTCTGTTCAAATGAGCAACAGATATGGAAACCTAGCCTTAAGTTGGTCATGCAAACAATTTGTATATTCACATAAAACTGTATTTGAAAATATATTTAATTTACAAATTTTTTTCCTTGTACCACAAAGAGTCATTAGTTGTCAATTTGTAGAAGATGGCACAACCATATGTAAAAATGATTACATGGCAAAATTATCACCATGCATCATATTTATACATTTTTCATTGAAGCCTTTAGTTTAAAAGGTAGTCATCTGTTCTTAATAGTTTAACAAATATTTGCCTATAAAACTGTATTGATGCATTACGTAAAATAAAGAAAAGCAGTTAAACTTTATTAATCTAATATATAAAGAATCTGCAGATACGAATATATGAGTTTCATTTAGCCATTGATCAAATAGTTATAACACACCAAAGACCCTAGCAATTAATAGATTTAGTAAACAAAGTTTCATAATTCTTAAACAGATAACTTTTATGGATATCAGGGCTTGCAACTGAAACAAGCTAATCAATAATTTGAGATATCAATGTTAATGTACAGAGAAAATATACAGCCACTTAATGTTAACTTTTGAGTACTTCCCATTAAAAAATTCTTAATTATTTATCATCAAACTAGATCATCGTTAAGGATATAAAGTAAGTATTTTAATATTTTAATTTTTTTCTTTGATTAGTTACACTGCATATGTAGCCTGTAATGACAATCTAGCTGGCTGATACACACGCACACACACGCATGCTCACGCGCGCGCGCGCGCACACACACACACACCCACACATACATAATACATATATGGATTTGACAATTCTCTTGGAAGGATCTTTCAAAAGTTGATATTGGATTATAATTTATTTTTATGCCATGAATATGAGTATAAACCTTAATGGAATCAAGGAATGTAAACAAGGATATTTGAATGAAGATAATTCCAGGCAAAGCAAACCAAGTTCAAGGGCTTCACAGAGGAGTATATTTGATCCATTCTCTGGACTCATAGTTGACTGGTGATGCTGGTGTTCTTGGAGATCTGATCTGAAAACAAAGACAAAGAACACTAATAAAAGAGACCAGTCTGCTGCAGTAAGAGTGGAAGGAGGGAAATGAGTCAGGAAGCAACTAGGTATTGTAATTCAGGCAAGAGAGGCATGCCACTGGGATTAGAGTCTAGTTTGAGATTTGATGAAAAGTTCCTAACTTTTTAAAGGTAAAGTCTTCATGACATTTTTATCAATTGGTTGTTAGTACTTGGAGAAAGAGGGGAGCCAAGGATGACTAGAGGTTTTCATCTTGAGGTAGAGGCTATGCAGATGCTTTGCTGAAGATGGGAACTGCATTGGCAGCCAATAATTTTCTATGAAACCCAAGATTTGAACAGACTAAGTCTCAGATGTTTTTCAGACATTCATGTTGAAGTGTCTAGCATATACTTAGATATATTATTAAGGATTTCAGAATATATAATTTGGAAGCCATCATTTGGACTGGATGAGATCACCAGAGCTATGCTGTCCCATATAGTAGCCCATGTGGCCATAGCATTTAAATAGAAATTAATCAAAGCTAAACTAAAATGTAAAATTCAGTTTCTCAGTCACATTACCCATGTTTCAAGTGCCTAATAGTCACAAGTAGCCACTGGCCTCAATATTTAACAGTGTGGAACATTTTTATCAACCCTGTTTGAGTTCTGTATACTGACATACTATAGCTTTTTATGAAAAAGAAATTTCTCTCTCTTTTTAACACCATTTGTCACTGTGATGGTTAATATTGAGTGTCAACTTGATTGGATTGAAATAGGCAAACTATTGTTCCTGGGTGTGTCTGTGAGGGTACTGCCAAAGGAGATTAAAGGAGATTAACATTTGAGTCAGTGGACTGGGAGAGGCAGACCTATCCTCAATCTGGGTGGACACCATCTAATCAGCTGCCAGTGCAGCTAGAATAAAGCAGGCAGAAGTTGGAAGGACTTCACTTGGTGAATCTTCTGAGCTTCATTTTTCTCCACTTCTGGGTGCTTCCTGGCCTCAAACATCAGACTCCAAGTTCTTCAGCTTTTTGACCCATGGACTTACACCAGTGATTTGCCAGGGGCTCTTGGGCCTTTGGCCACAGACTGAAGGCTGCACTGTTGGCTTCCCTACTTTTGAGGTTTTGAAACTCAGACTGATCCACCACTGGCTTCCTTGCTCCTCAACTTGCAGATGGCCTATTGTGGGAATTTGCCTTGTGATCATGTGTGTCAATTCTCTTTAACAAACTCCCTTTCATATATAAAAATGTCCTGTTATTTCTGTCTCTCTAGAGAACTCTGGTTAATACAGTCACTCGATTAATAAGTAACTTTAAGAGTTAAAATATGTTGATACTTAACCTAATGCATTCCATCCATATATCAATTTAGTTTTATGAATAAACTGAAGAACATAAATGTTAATCTCCCCAATCCATTCTCAAAACACACATAAATATATCTCCATTTACTAAAGCAGTTTGTCAGAATTTTTTAAACTTTAATAAGGAGTTATTTAGCAAGAAAAATAAGTGTGAATGTGTGTATGTGTGTGTATGTGTGTGTGTACTATAAGGAATGTAATTCTTAAGATAACTCATCTAGCTTCAAATTCTAGTCTTGCCTTTTCTCAGCTGTGTACACTAGGCAAATTATTTAAACTCCTTAAATCCTGTTTTCCTTATGGGTAAAATGGGAATAACAATGCCTACCTCCAAGTGTTATTATGAGGATCAAAATAGCTAATGATGGCTATAAGCATCTTAGCACAGTATCTAACACATTGTAAGTACAAAATAAATTTTGGCTTGAAAAATATCAAGTGATAACACTGTACAACTATGTAGAAGTAAATTATTAGACATGTTGAACATAGTATAACTTTAGTAAATTTTAAAATAAAGAAAGATTTTCTATAAATTTACCAAAGTTTTTACATGACTTTTGTTTGTAGCATTAATATAAATGTTGCATTTTTAAAGACACTAAATGAACACGTATGGAATTAATAAAAACATTGATTCCTCTGAGCCCCTCAAAAGCCATATATTTTGTATATTTTTATATATAATATATATTAGAATATTCCTTTATTTTCTAAATGTTTTTATGATCAGTATAT
This sequence comes from Homo sapiens, assembly GCF_000001405.40. Taxonomy (NCBI): domain Eukaryota; kingdom Metazoa; phylum Chordata; class Mammalia; order Primates; family Hominidae; genus Homo; species Homo sapiens. The sequence goes on from NC_000006.12 coordinate 67,331,425, forward strand.
GCTTTAGCATATTTTGGCCTCTCATTCACAGCAGAAGCTCATTATCAGCACAAGAGTTGGCAGCAAAACTAGTGCTGAAAGATGGAGATAAGTAAGCTTCACACATCTTCTCCAGTTACATAAGTGAATGAATATCCTACTAAAAGTTGGATTTCCCTCACTTGCAGTTAGTGGAAACCTAAACAACACAGATTTTATGCCTGTTTTGAGAGTGGATGCTATGTTTTTATCTAATTGGTGAATATTTTTTGTTTTATGTAATTACTGTTGTTTTATGTAATTACTATTACATAAAATGTAATTTGTTTTATGTAATTACTATTGTTTCTAACAATAGACCAAAGACTAATAGACTTCAGAAGAAGGTGAAAATTGTTTTGTTAGTATTTTCATCATTCTACAGTGAGAAGATCATTCACAATAGCCAAGATGTAGAAACAAACTAAGCGTTCTGCCATTTCCCATAACACTGATAAAGCTGGAGATCAGTATGCTAAATGAAATAAGACAGACAAACATACAAAAATATTACGTGATCTTTCTCATGTGTGGCACCATAGAAAGTAAAATATAGAGAGGCTGAGAATAAAACAGTGGTTAAGAGGGGTGGAAGTGGAGGAGTTATATGGGAAGATGTAGGCCAGAGAATATAAAATAGCAGATATATTAGATTAACAAGTTTAGACATCAAATGTATGATCATAGAAATATAAGTAATAAAACTGTATTATATTTGAGTACAGCAAATGAGTGGATTTTAGCTGCTCCTGACACAAAAACAAAAATATGGGCAGTTATGTGAAATAATGTATTTGTTAATTTGCTTTACTATGTTAATCATCTGCATCTGTACGCTATTTACAAGTATTTTACTATCTATATATATCCAATGACATCATGTTGTATACCTTAAATATAGACAACAAAATTTGTTTAAAGAAAGAGAAGAAAAATATTTTAAAGAGGTTGTCTGTATAGTTCCTGTTTATATTTTTAGAGAAGTTGATCTAAATTCTCCTTCATAACAGTCACCTAAGATGTATATTCTTCTCTGTAGTTAATAAGCATGCAATTCTATTTCTATCACCACCTGTTTAACCTGCAAGTCCACCATAATCTTGAACATTTAAATATTTATAGTATTAGAGAATTCTCATAAGTGAAATTATTATAATTTGAAATGCTTCCAATGAATTACTCAAATCCCTTATACTGTAATAATAAACTTGTTTTATATTTGGACCTAGGAATTCAATAATAATGTCTCTATTTTTTTTTTTTTTTGAGACGGAGTCTCGCTCTGTCACCCAAGCTGGAGTGCAGTGGTGTGATCTCGGCTCACTGCAAGCTCTGCCTCCCGGGTTCACGCCATTCTCCTGCCTCAGCCTCCGGAGTAGCTGGGACTACAGGCGACCACTACCACACACGGCTAATTTTTTGTATTTTTAGTAGAGATGTGGTTTCACCGTGTTACTCAGGATGGTCTCGATCTCCTGACCTCGTGATCCACCCGCCTCGGCCTCCCAAAGTGCTGGGATTAGAGGCGTGAGCCACTGCGCCCAGCCATAATGTTTCTATTTTTATATTATCATTAATATAATTAAATTATATATAATTAATGAGATAGTTTGGATAAAATACCAAATATAGAAGAGATGGGTAAAGTCTTGAGTTAAAATAGACTAGGTTATGTATTCAAATTTCAACAGCCTACCCCCAACAGAAATTATGGTTTGGAAATGGTACATACTTTATTTAAGTTAGTGGGACTTACTCCATTCAATCATGTAAATCTCTCAGAATTTTTTTTAAATTAAAATATAAGTTGATGAAGAAATAGACTTCATCTAGCATACTATTCTATGTCCAGTGCATACCTAATGTCTGTAACATGTTACACATTTAATATTTGTTTGTTGAAGGAAAAGAATAATTATTGATTTAAAATGAATATAATAATAGAAATAGAGTGATAAGTATTAAAATCTTGTTGGAATGGGAAAGAGTAAAAAAAGACCACATATTCTATTAGGACTTAAAACCACTAACAAATTTAAGATGTAAACATTTACGTGAAAAAAATTTCCTGACAGATTGTAAATATTTGAAAATATTTGAAATTATAAAATAATGTAAATTGATGAATTTGATTCTAAAATTGGAAATATGTAATACCCATAACAAAATTTCACCCAGATATGAATAAGAGTTCAAATAAAAATAAAATATGGGCTGGGTGTGGTGGCTTTCCCCTCTAATCCCAGGAATTTGGGAGGCCAAGGCATGCAGATGGCTTGAGGCCAGGAGTTCCAGACCAGCCTGGCCAACATAGTGAAAACCTGTCTCTACTAAAAATACAAAGATTAGCTGGGCATGGAGGCTGGCACCTGTAATCCCAGCTACTCCAGAGGCTGAGGCACAAGAATTGCTTGAACTCGGGAGGCAGAGGTCGCAGTGAACAGAGATTGCGCCACTGCACTCCAGATGTGCCACAGAACAAGATTGTCTCAAAAAAAAAATAAATAAATAAACAAATAAAAAATGTAATGGGAGACTTCCAGTCTAAAAAAGAAAAAAAAAAAGATATGAAGATAATTCAAAGTATGTGAAATGATATTTCTGGAGAAAGATTTTGTATCTTTCACTGTAGTAGTATAAGTATTTTTGAAATCTATAATGCATATATACAATTACCTGATTGCTTGAAGAAATATCCTTTCAACATATATGTGTGCCTTCTATGTGCTTAGCAGTTAATACTTTCCTCATGAGGTTTATTTTATAGAGGATCTTGATAAAATAATTAAGCATATGATAAAAATAGATTTCTTCTAATATATATAATATATACAAATGAATATAAGTTTATATTCATGGCATAATTCTTAATGCATGTGTGTTTATTATTAAATTTTAATAAATCATACTATTTAGTCTGTTGAGGTAATCCTTAGTAAGAAAATCAGAGCTAATTTATCCAGCATTTTCTTTTGATAATAAATTTTTCAAAAATGATAAACTTGCTTTTTTATCTGTAGCATCAGTTACAAGGTCAAATGAATACATCAAAACTGTTACTGAGTGGAGAGGATTATAGTCCAGTGAAAAAAATAAAAAATATAAATTGAACCACAAGGAAATCCAGATTACAAATTTGATTAGTTTCTTGGTAGAAATGGCATAGCAACACATCCCTGAGTATTTTCCATAAAATGGCATATTCAGTTAACAAATCTATCCTTGTAGTTATAGATCTATTGTTCCTGTTTTCCCCTAAGATTATAATTCATAGGCTATATAACTTGTAAGATTATTATAACTTAATGTTAAGTCTTCTGATTATAAATGAACATGTTTACTTTGTTTTTAGATCAAAAGCAATGTAATGTTTACCTCAATGATTGATGATGAAACCAGAACATAATTCATTTGATATATAATAAAATCTCATACTACTGTTTCAGTTTAAAGATCATCAACTTTTCCAATGTAGTAGAAAAAAAAAATACTCAGCAACCTGGAAAATGATCCTTGGATGTATCATTTGTACCTAATGAAAAAGAATCTATTGCTTTTGCCAGTGAGCTCTTTTTCAGTGTCACGTACAAAGATCCCTTAGGCCTCATCATGTTAGTATATCTGTTTATTCTTAGTTGAATCAGAAATGACAATGAGTCTTTTGTGAATCCACAAATATTCCTTAAACTATAAAATTACATGATAAATGTTATTATTATACAATAATAGTAGGTTGCTTCAAGTTTCAATAGGCTGAAATGCAGTCTCACAAACTCTTTTCAGATTATCATTGACTGAACAATCTTGAATTAAGCACCCAATACAAGCCTTGCACCATAAAATTATTTTTCCAAATTGTGTTGTTTTATTGTACAAAATGGAAATAACATGACTTATTACTTAGGAGACAGTATCTGCATCCAAGACCTGGTATTGGGTATAATGAGCAGGACTGAAGCAGAATAAAAGCTGTAACTTAACAAAACATAGAAATTTAGTGATGCATTTGAGCTATTAACTGTTCTGGTGAAAAGAGGTTATTTTGTTTCCTTTGTGTTCCTTTTATTTACATGTTACAAGTATGAGCTGATGCAAAGCAAATGCCAGGCTCAGGTGAAAGGTGATTAAAGGGACTGTGACACCCATCAGAGTATAGAAAAAGGTCAAATGGAAAATCATGTAGGCTTTTTCCAGTTTCCATCAACTGATTTATCATTTTTAATTCAAAAAATAACAAAATAATGACTGCTATAAAATTGACATTTCTAAAGAAAAAATAATTTTGTTATGAGTCTAAAGGAGTTTGTGGCAGCAGCCTATTTATATTATTATTATAATAAATAGATATTGTTATTGTTTTCAATTGAAACAGTTACTTAATTTCAAAATTTTCTTTTAATATAAGGTCTTTTAGGAGCACCAGTCATCAAGTTATAGCAAAATACAAAGTATAAGACTCTGGGATGCAAAGTTGAATAACAATTGTGCACATCTAATGGAAGCTCAGGTATTTGAATAGAAAGTTTGCAATGTAACATGAAACATAAAAGTACGGTATTTAAACAAGTATTGTGAGATATCAGTGAGTAGTTTATTAATTTTTCTTTGGAGAGTTAGTGAAGATGTCAGAAAAGAGTTTATCTTTGAACTGAGGCTAAAATGGCTAAAAACTATCTAGAAATTTTATTTCTAGCAATAGAGCTCTTTAAGTATCTGAATTACCTCCCTTGCAAAAATAAAAGTCCCACAAACAGTCCAGGCGGTTGGGTGTGGGGATGGTGGTGGGGTTGGGAAACAACTCTTCTTAAATGCACCAGGGAGCTCAAAGAAATAGTTATCTTTCGAATCCTTGAGGTTAGGAGATTAGCGAGATGAAAAAACAAAAGCAATGAAGACAGCTTTCAGGCTTATGGCAATTGTTTATTTTGATGAACTTGAGCTTTAGATTTTCATTGCCTCCTGGAACCTAGGAATGGAATACAAAATTCACGGCATGCCCCACAGTAAAGGTTCATAGAAAATCCTTTTCATCTCAAGACTTAAGTGTTAAGAATGAGCCAGATATAAGCCTTTCCATTTTCAGTCAACCACAAACCAAAGAAAAATGACTTTCTTGAACCTTCATAATATACAGAAAAGGAAAAATAAATATTATTGTGAATGGTTTCCTCATTTAAAAAAATGTTGAAAAACATTAAGCATTTCTTTTCTCTTGTTCCTAGGGCTGGTTATGGCCCCCATTCGATTAAAATATAGAAATATAGAAAGGGCAAGTCCCCAGACAGAGAACAGCTGGCCTGATGCTGGAGGCCATTATAAGATCAAACATCATTTTTATGTGTCTGAAAGCTTGACTACTCTGTCTTTTTAAATTACCCCAACACTCAGAGACACCAGGGCAAGCTAGAGGTAGTTGTTGGATTGTTTGAAGGAGAGAAATAAGTAGTGTATACGGAGTTATGTTAAGATTTCTTTCTCTCACAGATCCTAATTTTTCTGCAGCACATGTTATAATAGATCTACTCTTGAATTGATTGCTGCTTGTCACAGAAATAGCACAAGGACTTGATTCACCTTAAGATAAATATGAAATGAGACTACATTGTAGACTCTGTAAAATTTCCCAGGGTCAGTATTGCAACAGGTAGGTATGCCAACCTTCATTGATTCTAGTCCAACAATATATATTTATTAATCATTTTTAATTTGTTTATTCAGTAAGTTACCTTATTTGTAGCCACAATATTTTACACAAAGTGTTTTACAAATCTTTGTAGCAATTACTTGAAATATAATATTAAAAGATTATAAAGATTAAAAATGATTTTAGATCAATATTCATGAATTTTAAAGTGGAAACAGAGAAAATTAAGTCATAAGGCATTATGCAATTGTTATTTTTAAACAATATTTTTATGTTAAGCTTTCTGGTGGTTAAAACTCAAAGGAAACTTATATTTCAAGACCTATAAGGGGAAAATACTTATTTATCATTTTGGGTCAGTGTTCTTGTTCTAACAAAGTACTTTTGTATTCCACAAGGTGAACCCATTGGCCCATCACCCTTCTGTATGTACTTATCTTAGATGAGTGCATTTCCTCTCTATCAAGTCAAAGCCTCTCCTAATTTGGGACTTGACTATTGATTCTTCTATCTATTTTCCATATGGTCTTTCACAAGAATTTACATTTGAAAATGTTTGCAGCTTAATCATTTTACCTCCTTCTTCTCTATATAGTCTTTATTTTCTTTAGTATTTATTAGCACTCTGTCCTTGCCAGCAGCCTTCCTAGAATGAGTATCTTCCCATCCCCTGCTCCATGCCACCATGTCAAATCACACCAAAGTACTGTTTATATTTTTTCCTTCTCAATATGTTTAAATAAGCATAATCTTCTTCATTCCAAGTGCCTCTATTCTTAGTCATTTCATACTATTCCTCTAATTGCCACTAAACAGATATACTTTTCTAAAGAGTTTTCTAAAACTGATACACTTTTAAAAAGAGTTTTCTAAAACTCTTCAATGGACCATAGCACTTACTGCATAAAACTACTTAACAAGGACCAAATACTTCCAAATTCATTCTACATGGCCAGTATTATCTTGGCACCAAAACAAGACAAAGACATATTTTTTTAAAAAAAAAAGACTGCAGAACAAGATACCTAATGAACATTGATGCAAAATTCCTTAACAAAATACTAGCAAACTGAATTAAACAACGTATTAAAAAGATCTTTCACCATCACCAAGTTGGATTTATCCCAGTGATGCAAGGATGTTTCAATATATGCAAATTAATTAATACAATACATCATAGCAAACGAATGAAGGAAAAAAACACATATGATCATTTCACTTGGTGTTGAAGAAGCATTTAATAAAATTCAACATCTCTTTATAATAATAACCCTCAATAATGTGTATGGAAGGAACATACCTCAACACAATAAAAGCCTTATATGACGGATTCACAACTAATATCATACTGAGTGGGCAAATACTGAAAACTTTTTATCTAAGTTCATGAACACAAGGATACCCATTTTTACCAGTGTTATGTAACATAGTGCTGGAAGACCTAGTTAGAGCAATCAGACAAGAGAAAGAAATAAAGGGCATGCAAATTGGAAAATAAGAAGTCAAGTAATCCTTGTTTGCAAATCATATGGCGTTATATTTGGAAAACCTAAGGACTCCACCAAAAATTATTAGAACTGACCACAAATTCAGTAAAGTTACAGGACACAAAATCAACATATGAAAGTCAGTAGCATTTCTATATGCCAACTGCACAATCTGAAAAAGAAATCGAGAACGTTATTTCATTTACAACCACTACAAATAAAATAAAATACCTAAAAATAAACTTAACCAAATCTCTACAGTGAAAATTATAGAACTTTGATCAAATAAATTGAATAGGACACAAGAAAATGGAAAGATATTCCATGTTCATGGATTTGAATAATCAAGGTAATTAAAATTTCCATGCTAATCAAACAATCTACATTTTCAAAACAATTTTTATCAAAATACCAATGACATTCTTCACAGAATTAGAAAAAATCCTAAAATTTATATGGAACCAAAAATGACCCAGAGTAGCCAAACCTATCCTGGAAAAAAAGAACAAAACTGAAGGAATCACAGTACCAGACTTCAGATTACACTATAGAGCTATGATAACCAAGACAGTATCATATGGGCATAAAAATAAACACATGGACCAATGATACAGAATCGAGAACAGAGAAATAAATCCATACAAGTACAGTGAGCTCATTTTTGACAAAGGCACCAAGAACATACATTGAGGAAACGACAGTCTCTTCAATAAATGGTGCTAGGAAACTGGCTATCCATATGTAGAACAATAAAACTATATCCTTATCTCTCACCATATACAAAAATCAAATAAAAATTCATTAGAGAATTAAATCCAACATCTTAAGGAATGAAACTAACAAATGCAAACTTTGAGAAACTCTCCAGGACATTGGACTAGGCAACAATTTCTTGAGTGATACCACACCCTGGTATACATATACATTATTTTGAGAATTGCTAACTCATACATCTATATAGTGTTTAAGTTTTTTGTCCTTAATTTTACATTATCTAATCAAAATATCCTTCTTCAAAAACAGGTTAGTTGTTTTAATCTCAATCCCTTTCGGTGTGGTTAATATACTCATGTTTAGTTGCTATGGTTTGAAATTTATTTTGGGTTCATGTACATTCTATCTATTTTTTTACATTCATACATAGTAAAATGTAGTGTTTCACAGCGCTTTAGGTTTTAACAACTGCATAGAATTGTGTATTCACTACCGCATTCAGTATAAAAAGCTGTTCAATCACCTCCTAAATATACCTTTGTGCTTCCCTTTATAATCCATCCTCCCTACACCACAAAATCTTATACGGACTTATTTCTGTTCCAATCTTTGGACTTATCTGAAGTTTATATGCATGACTAATCCATCTGCTTATCTACCTGTGTTCTCACACACACACACATAACACACACATACACACACACACACATAGGTGATAGTAGAGTGCATGTCTATTGATGACTAGTAGTCTATTTTATGGATGTACCATAGGTTGTGTATCTAGTCACCAATTTAAAGACATCTAGGGCATATCTAGTTTGGGATAATTATGAATAAAGTTATTAATGAAGAGTATAAAGTTAGTAAATATGAATGTACTGATCTTTTGCAATTATACATTTTTATTTATTTTGTATTAAGGATGGAGATTTCCGGGTATGATGTTCAGAGTTAGGTGTCAACCTTAGCGAGCTAAGGGATGTCCAGACAGCTGGTACAACATTGTTTCTGGGTGTGTCTGTCAGAGTGTTTCTGGAAGAGATTAGCATTTGAATCAGTAGACTAAATAAAGAAGATTGCCTACATTAATGCAGTGGACATTATCCAATCCATGGAGAGCCAAACTGAAAAAAAACGTGGTGCAGGAGGGCAAATTTGCACTCTCTTTTAGCTGGGAAATCGATCTCCTGCCCTTGAACATCAGCTCCCCTGGTTTTCAGGCATATGGCCAGGAACAGAATTATACCACTGGCTTTCCCAGTTTACTAGGTTGAAGATGGAAGATCTTGGGACTTCTTGCACTCCATAATTGCTTGAGCCAATTTCTATTCTCCCTCTCTCTCTCTCTTTGTCTCTCTCTCTGTATATATATATGTATCTGTCCTGTTGATTCTCAGAATCATAGAGTAAGTATATTTTCAACTGTAAAAGAAACTTCCAACTATCTTTAAAAGTGACTGTAGTATTTTGCATTTCCACCAGCAATATAAGTTTCATTTGTTTAACGTTTTTTGCCAGAATGTGATATATCTGATATATATGTATAATATAAATATATATATATAATTTTTTTCTTTTTAAAAATTTAACTCCATGATGGTACCTCCTTATAGTTTTAATTGCTGTTTTCCTAGTAGCAAATGATGTTGAGTATATTTTCATATGCTTATTTATCCTCTATGTATCACCATTGGTGAAACAAATTTCACCCATTCTTTTTTTTTTTTTTTTTTTTTTTTTTTTTTGGACTGAGTCTCACTCTGTCACCAGGCTGGAGTGCAGTGGTTGCGTGATCTCGGCTCACTGCAATCTCCGACTCCCTGGTTCAAGCGATTCTCCTGCCTCAGCCTCCCGAATAGCTGGGATTACAGGCTTGCGCCACCATGCCCAGTTAATTTTTGTATTTTTAGTAGAAACAGGTTTCACCATGTTGTCCAGGGTAGTCTTGATCTCCTGACCTCGTAATTCACCCACCTTGGCCTCTGAAAGTGCTGGGATTACAGGCATGAGCCACCCCTCCCAGCCTTGCCCATTCTTAGTTGAGTTTTTATGCTCTTCTTACTGAGTTTTTAATAATTTAATAAATATTTAATAACGTTTTTATATATTAAGAATAAAGTATTCTGACAGAATTATGATATACAAATAATTTATCATATTTTGTGGCTTGTATTTGAATTATCTTAATGTTGCCTTTCACAGAAGAAAGTCATAAAATTTAATAAAATACAATTTATCTTCTTCTTTTACAGATTGTGTTTAAAAGTTTTATCAAAAAATATATTGCCTTAAAAAGTTCACAGAATTATTATCTTATTATTTCTTCTGGCAATTTTATAGCTTTAGATTTTTCTTTCTGGTCTATGTTTCATTATGTGTTAATATTTGTATCAGGTATCAGGTGTGATTTGAAGTTAAGTTGTTTTTCATGTGGACAGCCAATTGTTCCCACACAATTTCTTGAGAAGACTTTCCATTCTCCACAGAAATATCTTTGTGCTTTTGTAAAAAAATCAGTTGACCATATTTGTTTGGGTCTTCTTCCATGCTGTCGTTCGATCAACCTCCGTGTTTTTTATTTTGCTGCAGTTATACTCTCCTGGTAATGATTGTAATTTTGTAGTATGCCTTGAAATCAAATAATGTGAGTTTTTTATTTTTGCTCTTTAGTAGAATGGTTTTGCCTATTTACTAAGTTTAGAATCAACTTATCAATATCAAAAAAAAACCCACAATGATTTTTATTAGGAATATATTTTATCTATAAAACAATTTAGGAAGAGTAGTCATTATCACAATATTTAGTCTCCAGCCTCTCACTTTATTTTGGTCTATTTTGATCCTATTCCTTAGTGTTTTGTAGTTTTCAGCAAAGACATATTGTATTCACTTAGATTCATATCTAATCATTTTATTTTTGTTATCACTATATATTGTGCTATTTTTTATTTCATATGTTAATGATTCATTGGGAGTATATAAAGATATAATTGATTTTCATGCACTGACTTGGTATCCTCTTTAATTTTTTAACTCATTTATTGGTTATAATACCTTTTTTCATATACTGTTTAGTAGACATTCATATTGTTTATAATACAAATATCTTTTTAAATTTTTTAAATATGCAAGATTTTTCTAGAACTTCTATTACATTATTGAATAAGAGAGATAATAGAACTAAAGGGGGAAAGGCTCCAGTCATTTTTAGGTTCTATATGATGTTGAATAAAGTTAATCTTTTTGAGTTGTCTTTATTCCAACTTAAAATTTCTCCTATTATTTGTAGTTTGCTGAAAATATTTATCATTAGTAAACTTTGAATATTGGCAATGCCTTTTATACATCTGATTGATAAGGCTATAGAATTTCTTCTCTTCATTCTGTTAATATGGTGAGTTAAATTGATTGATTTTTGAATGTTGAACCAGCCTTGCATTTTTAGGATAGACTCCTCTTGGTAATGCTGTATTATTTATTTTATATGTTACTTAATGTGATTTGCTATTATGTTTTGAAGATGCTTGCATCTATTATTTTTTTCTTTTCTTGTGATATTTTGCTGTTTTATTAAATTCATCTTGGCCTTATAAAGTGAGTTGGACAATGTTCACTCATCTATGTTTTGAAAAAATTGGGTAGAATTGGTGTTGCTTCATTCTTAAAAAGTTGATATAATTCACCAATGAAATATTCTGGGCTTGGAGCTTCCCTTGTGAGAAAGTTTTTAACTAGTTGCAGTTTCTTCAATAGGCATACAACTGTTCATGTTATCCATATCAAACACATATTTTAGGCAGGAAGTGAAGAAAAAAGAAAAAAATAATGTGTCTTAGCTACCTGTCTCAATTTTAAGAAGCATTATCAGTAATCTAATGCAAACAATTCAACTTATATTGAGCAGAAATTAATTTCATGATCATGTCTCAAAACATGGGAGTCTGTGAAATGTAATATTTTAGCTTGACACATTGCCACAAATATAAGTGTTTGTTATTAGGAAGGAGTGAATAGTATTGCTGAGACAACTAGAATTTCCTCCCCCTCAATAATACAGTAATTCAGACAAGGCAGACTACTATATAGCGGTTCTGAAGTACCAATGAGTTAATCTTAATTAGATGTTCAGTAAAAGGAAATTTTAAAATGGGGAATGAGCTGAGAGTTAAAAAATACTTTGAGCATCATAATTACATTGTGGTAGTATGAGAGTGAATGAGAATGTTCAGACAGAAAATCTAGACCAATAAAATATAGTTAATGAAGCATTTTGTCTAAACAACAACCAAAGCTAATCCTGAGGCATACTGCAATAATTAATTTCTACTACATACTAGATAATTTCCAGTGGAAACCTCTTACGACTCCTGAAACATCCAAGATTATAAGTCACAGAGGACAAATTAGTATATGTAAAAAATGGATAGACTTTTTTTGAAGTTCTTATTTATAGTGCAGTAACTGTAATGTGGAAATCTAGAATGACACAATCTTTTATTCCTTTTTAGGCCCAATGTTCTCAAAATTTGACCATAGTATGCTATTATGTGGATCTTTTTAATTTATGTTGTTATACTATTGGGGGCATCTTCAATATTTTATTTTATTCTTATTTTTTATTTCTTCTGCTTATTTTATTTGGACATTATATTATTTCAATATTTTACCTCCCAGCATCTTCAGAATTGGTTTTCTACTATTTTCTATATTTCAATTTTTAATTTCTTTTCTATTTAGTTAAATTCTATTTTTATTTCAATTGCTTTGCTTTAGGGGTACAAGTATTTTTGGGTTACATGGATTAATTGTACAGTGGTGATGTCTAGGGTTTTAATGCATCTGTCAGCTGAATATTGTACATTGTACTCAAGATGCTTTTTTTGCATCCCTCACTCCCCCTCCTTCTCCCCACTGTGAATCTCCAATGTCTATTATACCACTCAGTACGCTTTTGTGTACTCATAGCTTAGCACTCACTTAAGTGAAAACACGTGGTATTAGATTTTTCATTCCTGAGTGACTTCACTTAGAATAATGGCCTCCAACTCCATCCAAGTTGCTACAAAAGGCATTATTTTATTCTTTTATTTTGGTTGGGCAGTATTCCATGGTGTGTGTGTGTGTGTGTGTGTGTGTGTGTGTGTGTGTATTTGTATATATAAAGATACAATTGATTTTCATGCACTGACTTGGTATCCTCCTTAATTTTTTAACTCACTTATTAGTTATAATACCTTTTCTTTTTTCACATTTTTATGCGTGTGCAGGTATCTTTTTAATATAATGAACTCTTTTCCTTTGGGTAGATATCCAGTAGCCAGATTGCTGGGTCAAATCGTAGATGCACTTTTAGTTCTTTGAGGAAGCTTCACGCTGTTTTTCACAGAGGTTGAATTAATTTATATTCCTACCAAATGTGTGTAAGTGTTAATTTTACTCCACATCCATGCCAAAATCTGTTATTTCTGTGACTTTTTAATAATAACCATTCCGATGTGTGAGAAGATATCTCATCATGGTTTTAATTCACATTTCTCTGATGATTAGTGATCTTCAGCATTGTTTTTTAGAGACATTCTACCCTTGGCTAATGGGGAGAGTAATGTTTCTTATATTTGAAAATATTATTTATATTACATAAATATGTTTCCTTTTCTTTTGCTCTATGTATTTCTGTGCTATATATTTGTTTATTTGTATTTTTGTCCCTGTTATTTTGTAAGATCTTTTGAAATTCTCAGTTAACCTTGTATAGTTTTTCTTACACATGGGTGAACCTTTGTCTGCTTATTCAGATTTTGTCAACTGGTGTGCATAATAAAGTGATCTAATGAGAATTCACCATTTTCAGTGAAGGATTCTCAAATACCAGAGTTGGAAATACATACTTCTCAGGCTTACTCATTTTTTTTTTTTTTACAGAAGAAATTCTCTCTTATTACTAAATGGGTTTGAGTCTGAAAGTCAGCATTGTAGAAGCTAATAAAAAAAGGAGGGCTGGTCTGGGTGCCGTGGCTCACGCCTATAATTCCAGCACTATGGGAAGCTGAGGTGGGCGGATCACAAGGTCAGGAGATCGAGACCATCATGGCTAACACGGTGAAACACTGTCTCTACTAAAAATACAAAAAATTAGCCAGGCGTGGTGGCGGGCGCCTGTAGTCCCAGCTACTTGGGAGGCTGAGGCAGGGGAATGGCGTGAACCCGGGAGGTGGAGCTTGCAGTGAGACAAGATCTCGCCACTGCACTCCAGCCTGGGCGAAAGAGCGAGACTCCATCTAAAAAAAAAAAAAAAAGACATTTCTTTATCTCTTTTGTCAGGACATGTTTTCCCAAAGTTTGAAATTTCTCCTGTTCAGATTTCACTAACAATAAACCTATCCTCTGTCACTGCAGAATAGGCAATCGCTAGGCTGTTTGACTTAGACAGAACATATTTGAGATCCAAATATGTCTTCCATGTCTTCAATAATTCTTCTACCAATTCTCCTCTATTTAGTCCCTTTCAATTACACACTTTTAAAGACACTGTTACCTAACATTGTTGAATTTTGTAGCACGAAGGTGTGTGCATATTTGTTGTACTTCTCTACTGTAGGCTACTGCAAGAAAAAAAGAAGCTTTAATTGTAAGTCAACTATCATTCATTCATCCATGGACCATCTTAAAGAATAACTTGGCATTCATCATTTGCTGTGGTCACTTTTAAATTCTTTTTGCTCAATCTATTTGTAAGGAAAATGGATGTACTGTGGTAAAGAATAGGTCAAGGCAGACATCCGGTCTAGCATGACTCTGCAAGTTTGGAGCACAGACGCACAACTCCACTCATTGTGTAACCATGCCACGTGAGGCACATTAGGTGATCACACACATGAGCTTGTGCTTGGCTCAGAGCCACTATTTTCTGTAAAGGTATAATTACCCTGCTAACACTGTACATACAGGTCGTGCCCAGGCTTGCACCCGGGCTTGCTTGCACTCAGAGAGAGAATAAAGCCATGTCTAAACTGTTTTCGATTCCTCGAGTGTTTTTCCACCTACCTGCCACTCACCCACCAACTCCCTTTGGGCCTCAGTTAGAACCTGACAATTGGTGTAACGAACAGGATCCCAGAGTGAGTGAGGCTTTGGTCCCCACTGATTCCAGGTTGGCCATGTGGCCGCAACAGGAGTTGTGGTACCTGCTGGCAGCTTTGCTGCTCTGATGGGCTCTGGTG
Source organism: Homo sapiens (assembly GCF_000001405.40). NCBI lineage: Eukaryota > Metazoa > Chordata > Mammalia > Primates > Hominidae > Homo > Homo sapiens. The sequence continues at coordinate 67,346,508 of NC_000006.12, forward strand.
GAAACCTGGGCGGTGGTGGATGGGTCACCCACAAGCATAGAGAAAGTATTGAGGCAACTGGAAGCACAGAGCAGTGAAAAGGAATGAACCTTTGCCGGTAGAGTTGGATGGGCACTTTTGAGTGCGCTAAGAGAAGTACACACCCAGTCCCTGAGGGATGTAGTCCAGGTAAGGGCCCTCCAGGCACATGTGGGGTGCCTGGAGGTCCGATTACAGGTTACACAGCTCAGAAAAGAAGTTAGAAACTTCCGTGAATGGGGATCTCCAGACGCAGGCGGGCCACCTAGAAGTTCAGCTACAGAGCTTGAAAAAGGAATTAGAGGATGCTGTGTATGCAGGCCTGGAAGCTCTGGGTGGGAATGAGGGGGTCTGTGCCATAAAGAAGGGGGTCCCCCACAAGAGAAAAGGGGGTCCCAATGAGTAACATGCTCACATATGTGATTTGATTTTGGCCGAGACTCACTGAGAGAAAATCGATAAACAGCCCAATGAAGTACTCCTAACTTTGTGGAGACAGTTGTCTACCGAGCAGCAATTCCAGAAAATGCCCAAGGGGAGAAAGACATTGCTGTGTGATCTGGTCCCGCCCAGGTTCTCTGGCTCAAAGACTATGTGCTGCAGCCAGGCGGGGGAGTAAAACCTTTTTCTGTTTGATGAGGGAACTGGCCGAGGTGCCTGGCTTTGGGAGGACACCAGACAAGTGGAGGCCGCATGTGAAATTAGCAACCCACTGGTCTCCCACCAATGTACAACAAGTTCTGGTGCTGGTAGACACCAGAACAGATGTATTCTGGGGGTGGACGTTTTACATGACTTGGCAGCTGTGCCATCTATCTTGGAATTGATGGACTTCTTGATGACAGAATTGGGACAGTACCACTATGTGATGAACAGGGCTAATGCAATTTTTTTTTTTTTATTAGAGAGGCAGGAACTATTTGCCTTCATGAGAGAGCAACAATGGACTTTCAGAATGTTGCCACATGGCTATATGAGTAGCCCCACCGTATGTCATGGTCTTGTTTATAATCTTATGTTAACCTCTGATTTGCTTTCAGATTTAGAAGCAGCGATGCTAGTTTGCCTGACATTGGGATAGTGCAGCTGAGACCACCTTCCTGGCAGTCAAGTGGGCTATTCAGCAGGCACAAGCCCTATGGGTAGTTGACCAGGGCACTCATTTGAGCTGGATGTGCATGTGACCACAGATGGTTTTGGTTGGGGCCTGTGGCAGCACACAGAGTGCTTGAGAATGCCAGTAGGCTTTTGGTGCCAACTGTGGAAGGGAGCTGAGCTCCAGTATTCTTTGACAGAGAAACAGCTAGCAGCTGTATATGCTGCTGTTCGGGCTTGTGAGAGTGTGACAGGATGGGCTGTAGTTGTCGTGTGGACAACTTACCTGATAGCTGGATGCGTGCATTTATGGGTAATGATCCTCCAGAGTGGGATGGTGCACATTCACTTTAGCAATGTGGGGCACCTACTTGGAGCAGTGGTGTACACTCAACACAAGCCCCTTAGCAGCAGAGTTGCAGGAAGTCTTGGGACCTGTAGTCCTAATGCAAGATAAGGCCTTGGGGCATAAGGCCATGGTGCCTGAGGCACTCCCCTGCCCCCCATTCCTGATGGGCATGGTATGCAGATTGGTCTAGCCAGCGTACTGCTGTTGCTTGGACTGCTGTCACAGTCCAGACTATTACTGACAACATATGGTTTGATACTGGTTGTGGACAAAGTAGTCAATGGGCTGAACTCAGAACAATATGAATAGTGATCATCAAGGAGGTGACACCTATGATAATCTGCACTGACAGCTGTGTTTATTGAGGCTAAGCCTTGTGGTTAATCACTTAGAAATTACAAAAGTGACTAGTTGGTCACCGGCCCATGTGGGGCCAGGGCATGTGGCAAGAACTGTAAGAGGAAGGATGACCTCCTCTGACCAGGTATGGGGCTGAACAGTAACTGGTTGCTGCCTGCCCCAGTGATCCTCAAGGTAGTGAAATAAAAACCTGGCTTAATGTACAAGGCCTATATGTCTGACCTTTGTGTCTGGGGTCTGTGTGCCCAGAACGTATGTATAAGGCCTATGTGTTAGACCTGTGTGTCCAAGTCCTATGTCTCCCTTGGCCTAAGGGGTGAGGTGTTAAGGAAATGGATGTGCTGTGGTCAAGAATAGGTCGAGGCAGACATTCAGTCCAGCATGACTGAGCGAGTTTGGAACGCAGGTGCACAACTCCCCTCATTTTGTAAACCATGCCACGTGAGGCACATTAGGTGATCACCCACATGAGCTCATGCTTGACTCAGAGCCATGATTGTGTATAAATGGTGTGTAAAAAGGATGTGTATAAAAGCAACGTTACCCTGCTAATGCTGGACATATGGCTTGTGCCTGGGCTTGCTCAACTCCAAGCTCACTCACACCCAGAAAAAAAATAAAGCCATGTAGAAACTGTCTACAATTCCTCGAGTGTTTTTCCAGCTACCCACCACTCACCCACCGACTCCCGTCGGACCTCAGTTTGAGCCTGACATTATTATACTGCTTTTATTCTGTTATAATCATAATAGTAAGATGTAGGTATGGAGTAGAAATAAACACATGCCATTGTTGAGATGTGTTCAATGTGTCTTTAATTGGTATTGCTTAATGTCATGTGTTATAAGGCATATCTTTCCATAAGGCAGCCCTAGAAATCCTTATCAAAACAAACTTAGGATTAGAAGGATCATAAGTATAACCCAATATGGCATTTCCTGTACTCTCATAGAGATATCATTAGGTAAAAAGATTTATGTTGCATCTAAGAACACAAAGCAGATGACAGGTGCTGCCAATAACTGATATGAGCATATTCAGTTAGCAAGCCAGGACTCAGAAACAGCTTTTCCAGTTATCCAGTCTCTGTTCCACAGATAAATAGAATAATAGATTAATTCTATCAATTTTTTTCCCACACCCCAGTGATTTGTGGAGAAAATTAAAGCATTTCAAAGTATTTTATTAAATTCAAATATTATCAGGAAAGTTAAAAGTTTGTTGTATCAATACTAATATGTAAGATAATTTTCTTATACTATAAAAAAGATACATATTGGAAAGGTATTTTGGTGTGTATAAAAGTTTTAAAATAATAATTATCTAGACGGATTAATAAGATAATAGTGCAAATATAAGGATATAACTTGCCTTATAAGTACATAGAAATTTCCTAAAAGATTCTATGTCAGAAGCTTAAACCATAGGGTAAATGATCCATTTTTATTTAAGTGTATTTGCTATCTATTTTACTTTTTCATCTATTTTATCTATTTCTTCTGAATATATGTATGGAAAGATATATAAATTATATCAAAAATATATGTGAAAAATTATACATCTATTGTCAGAATTCTTTTGTTGGATCTTAAACATGCATATAATTTCAACAAACGCAGAATAAAACACTTTTGGACAAAATTTCCCTGCTCAAATTACTCATATCTTCTCCAACTGAATTTATAAACTTGTAATATCAGTTTATCTTATACAACTCTCAAATCATACCCATGCATACTGCATTATACATCTCCATATTTGTTGATTCTCTGACCCACTTTTCATTTTCTTTCCTTAGCTGCCCCCCTAATTGAAGGTAATTCCTAGCTATAGTTGAAAATTTTCAAATGTGATTAATATGGAACAATTGTTTAATTATGTATTAATCCTTTTTTAAAAATTATTTGAACATTAGTCAATTAAGTTGACTTTTATGAGGACACATTAAAATTACTTAAATGATTTATTAATGAAAACACATTTTGTATCTGTTTTTGTTCTTACATTCTAAAATACTTGTTCTCCACATAAAGCTTCACTCTACTCTAATTTTCTTGTACAGACACATAGTGGCCAAGGATAGTCAAATAATGGAGGCTCTACCTGAAGACGAGAATACTGCCATTTTTGGTGCACATTCAAGTTATCTGCTGGATGGAAAGATGTATTCTTGTTTTGCTTGACTTTGCCTCACCGTGGTCATACTGCCTTTCTTTTTTGTGAAAGGCTGTTTCTCCAATATTTGAACTACTTAATGTATGAATTCAGTTTGGGATTTAGGAAAGCCTGCTAAATTTCAAACTTCCAGCTCACCCCATACATATATTAATTCATCCACTGCCACACTAACATAATAAATTCCATTCTTATCACTTTCTTTGCTGAAAATAAATGTGTGTAAGACTTCGGTATCTGATCTATAGACTTCTTCATAAAGAATTAAAAAAATCAGTAAATATATTGTCACAACAGTTCATCAAATGTATTGTCGTTACTTTTTCTATTTAGCTATTTCTCTTTAAACTCTAAGTTCATGAAGACAGAGAGCATGTCAGACTTTCCCAGGATCTTGTACTCAGCATGAGGCACAGTGCGTACCACAGAGTAGTCTATGGATAAATATTTATTGAGTGACTGATTGGATGAGTACATACTTTGTCTCATAAAAATTCTATACCCTCAACTTTCTTATTCACTTTGCGCTTTATGAGTATGCATTTCTCACTGTGTACTACACAGTCCATTTTCTGATCAGATTATTTAGCTGAGAATAAAGCTAAAATATAAGATATTATTTGCCTTATTTTTCATTACAATTGAATTTCTGCTATGCTCACATTAAAAGATATAACCAACAATAGATAATTAAGTTATGCACTAAATCTAAGAGGCAGTACACAATATTGTGAAAATACGAAGATTTATAATCCTCAGTGAAGTTTCCATGAAAAGCTTAATTCAGCTAATGTGATACAATTTAAACAACAGAAGAATTATATGAAAAGTGAAATATTTAAACAACAGTTCAGTACAAACAGAAAAAGGATAAAAATATGAAATATAAGAAGTTGTGCAGAAATTTGGAAAAAAAACTATATTTTATTATTTGATAAATTAGAAAAGTCTATAGAGAAGAAGAACTATGATCTGTCTTAAAGAATGGCTGAGAATTGTTTAGGATCATGGGACGAATAACAACATCAACACACTGCATATTTGGAACTTGAATCTCTCATTTATTTACCTTAATAAAAGTTTTATCAGATAGAATAAATTGCAGATACAATTTGGATTTAGAAACTTTTATACTTGGAAAAGGCTTTCTACCTATGACTTTCTTCTATCTAGCACATATTACTATTTTTATAAGTTTCATTTTGAAAGTCATGTCTATATGGAAACTCCACAAAAAGCTTCATTTAACCTTTCTCTAAGTAACCATCACATTATTATTCTTTGTTTATGTTATATTGGTATTTGACTGAGCATCGAATATGCCATTTTTGTTTTCTCTGCCTAAGTCCTGAACCAACTGAGAAAGAGATGTAAGGAATGAGACACATTCAGATCTACATATTAATTTTATTGTTTAGGTGGTTGATGAATAACAGTGAAACTAAGGCCGGTTGTGACATTGAACATCGAAATTGAGAGACTTCTGACCTAGTCACATGTCCCGCTAAGCAACACAGTTTTCCTAATCTGAGAGTGAACACTCACACAATTTATGACCTGGAGAAGCAGCCTCCAATGGACCTTCTGTCTAGGAAGTCAAATCTTGAAGAAAAAAAAAAGAAGAAATAAAAAATTGAGTTAAGTACATTTATTTTCTTTTTGAAATTTACCAATAACATAAATCAAATTTCTACTCAGAGTAAAAGTAAGTAGGAGGACAAATGGGGCTGAGAGCGTTATGCCAGTAGATAACTCTCCAAATAGAAGAGAACATTGTAAGTCGGGAGTAAAGAGTTTGGTAGTTTTTGTTTGTTTACTTGTTTGCTTGCTTTTGTTTCAAACTGAAACAGTATAAAGAGAAGGACATTTATTTTGATGTAAGAAAAATATGGATTCAGGTCTTGGCTCAACAGTTTTTTACTCAATATTTTATATTGGTATTCCCTAATAAATATTTTAAAATTGACCAACATTTCAGCTTTATTTTCTTCTATATAGTTTATTTGTATACTGTCTGTTGATTTCTTTTAAGCATTCAGTTAATTTAAATATAAGGCAATGTTTTATTTTCAATCTTACGTGAAAATAAACCATAGTATGTCCCCCCCCATTATGAACTAGGTTGAAATTGTTATTAGTGCTTGAACATATACCCTTCCTATTCTTTTTGTTCCAATTTCTCTTGCCCACATATGTCCTTTATATTTGATAAAAGACCCTTACATATGCTGTTTTGAAACAAATATTTCAGACACGTAGTTAATAGTACTTTTTTGCTTCCCATTTGAAGCTAGATGTGTCTTGTTTTAGCTAATAAAATGCGATCGGAGGTGACATGATCATTTATTTACCAAAACCGACAGCCAGTGAAAGACTCCCTATTAACCTTCCTCATGATGCAATAGTGGCGGAAACAGATGGCGGTAAGCCGCCATCAACATGGGCTTCTGATTAAGACAGTATACAGAGCTCTAAGCATCAATTTTGCATAGAGAGTATGAGCATAAATAAACTTTTACTGCTTTAAGTTATTGAGTATTTGCATCATTTTTTGTTGTGACACAACCGAGCTTATACTCATAGAGTATACAGGGTCCTTCATGATACGCCGCTGCTTATATTTTAGCTCTATCTCTTGAGCTCACTGTATTTCTCCATATGTTATACTACTTTATAACTCCATCATTTATTGATTCACTCAGCAAAATCATTGTGTATGTGGCCTAGATGCTGCAGTATACAAGGGTTTAAAAAGGCACTTACCATCCTCTTAGTGAGATAACTAATACACAGAGCAGTAAAATAGAAAGTCAACAAGAAGAATAGAGTGGATGTCTGCTGATTTTCTGTATCCTGCTCCATTCCCTCTCCTATTCACTATTCTCTGTCAGGTTGCCAAGTTTCCCTCCATCTCATTAAGGGTTTCTTGCTCTCTTAAAGCTTTTAACCTTCCCCATCTCCAAGCTCTGGGGGGTGAACACTATTGTATCAAGCACTGCACCCTCCTTCATTCCCTTGAAAATAGTGATTGGTTTAAGGTGAGGCACAACAGCAAGTTCTTTGAAGGTTTCCTGGGAAAGTTGCTTCCATATATTTTCAAAAAAGAAAGTTTCTTCCATATAGTTTCAAAAAAGCTAATGGCACTGTATTACTCTTTCAAATTGGATAAATACATTGAAGCATAAAGACCTTGGGGTTACTAAAAACTCTCAGGTGGGGTGCATGGATAGTGACATAGGATGAATTGGGCAAACAAAAAAACTGAGGGGGAAAGGAAAAAGAAACCATCATTTTGGTGTTGTGAATGGACAATTGGATCAAATGCTACTCTTCCTTGTGAAGATTTAGTTATGAAAAAAACTAATACTGTATGTGTGTATGTGCCTGTGTAAGCTTAATTGGATTTCCTTTTGTGTTTAAAAAATGAAAGGCCTCTCTAGAGATGTGACCTGTGTGGTGAGAGATTAGAATAAGTCAAGTATGTGAAGAACTGTGTGAAGTGAGGAGTGATATAAAAAGTCCCGAAAGCTACAAAAGGCTTGACTTTAATGAGGGACTAAAAAAGAATGTCAGAGGGACGGAACAACACTGAGTTAGAGTGGCAATAATAAGGGGCGAATTTAGAGAATTAAGCAGAATGATGTTAGCCTTATTGATCATGGAAAAAAGTGTGGATTTTATTTTAATAGCAATGAAACCCATTGAAGGGTTTAAGCAGGGAAATAAAAGGATCTGATTTACATTTTTAAAAGAGTACTACTCTGCACAAGGCTAAAAGGGTAAGAAAAAGGCAAAGCAGAAGGAAGAATTTTGTGTTAGTCTAGGGGAAGTAGATTTTAGGCTAGTTGAGAATTTGCAGTAAGGAAGTTCAGCATCCCTGGAATGCCTTTACAGAAACTTCCCTATCAGGATAATTCCTATTTATCTTTTGAGTCTCAGCATTAAAGCACTGCTTAGAGCAGAGATTAAATTACAAAAAAAAAAAGGAATAGATTTCAGGACAGTGTCAATCCTCACTGAGATCTTAGTCTCTAAATAGCCATTTTTTTTTTTTTTTGGTTAATACGAGAATATATTGTAATGAGAATTACAGAAGAAATCAGTAAATCTACATTTAGGATCATTATTTTTCACTAATAAAACCTTAGCTTTTAATAAAAGTAACATACATTCCTTCGTGATACACATGAGTTTTACAATTATTGTAGGAGTGACATACTTGAGTTAAGCTGGCTTAGGAGAAATAAGTGAAATTTTTAAAGGGGACACAACTTTGTATTAAAGCATCCATACTTTATTCATTTCCATGAGTCCACTCTGTGCCTAATGTGAGTCAATCTGAGAAAGAAAAAAAACGACACTATCACCTAGGTGATACTTGAGATAACAACTGATAAATCATAAGTAGGGACTAGGTAGCATGGACTGATAGAAGGATAGAGAACACAAGGTTAAAGAAAAATTATTTATGAAATCAAAGTATAAGAATAAATTAGGGAAGCTGAAATGCTCTCTACCATTATGCAGTTGGATTAGTTTTTACCCAATGTGACCAAAATAGTATTTAGCAAGTTTAAAAATATAAGTAAGTAAAAAACAAAAACAACCTAATTATCTGAGTCTATGTTTCTTGGGGGGATATTTATCCATATTTTTTTACAAAGGTCTAATTATATCTTAACAAATTTGAAGAAGTATGTGACAGAAGGCAGGGCAAGTGAGGGGAGTGGGTTGGTGAGGAACAGGGTAATAATGTAATAAGTAAAGTGGGCAATCCCTAATCAGGCATGACAGTTGGGGTGGGGACAAGCCTTTTTCATAACACACACTGAGTTTAACAAGAATTTTGTTTCCAGCAGCCTCCTTTATTTTTGCCCCTTCCACACAAACAATAAATGGTTGAATTAAGTCCTATGTAAGATAATGAAAGACCATCCCTAATCTGAAAATCTGACATTTGAAATGCGGCAAAATTCAAATCATTTTCAGTGCTGGCATGATGTCACAAGTGGATGATGAGGATGATGTTAACACTGCAGAAAAAGTGCCTATAGATTACATGGTGAAAATATGTGATGGGTTTATTAAAGAAGTAGATCAGTAGGCATTAATAACAGAGTAAGAAATCATGTCACTTTATAAAAACAAAGAGAGACTTCTAAGACAAAACATTGTTCATAAGGCAGATAACTTGGCTGCAGTGCAAGTGTCTGTAAAAGAGTAGAGAAAAGATATGAAAAGAATATTGGCAAGCTAGAAATGTTCTTAAATGTAAGGCTAATAAATCGTGAAATGCATTTTGAGTGCAGAATTCAGAAAGATTGTTTTGTTATAGGGAGAGGTGGAAATGGAGCCTAAATTAGGAAAATATGGGGCATGACCCAAGTTAATGGTCAAGAAATCAAATGAAAGATATAGCTAAGGTATGTTTTAAGAACTATTTTTTTCTTATTATTATTTAGGGGATGAATGACAGAGATGACTAAAATTTTTTGTTTGGATTGATATAGAGTGCAAATAATGAATTTATTCTTCTACATGTTTCTTTACAGTTTTGTACTCCATAGATAAAGATATGGACTTTCATTTCTATCAGTTACTTAGACGGAGTCATCTAGATTTAGAAAAAGGGACAAAGAAATTCATTATAATGTTGCAACAAGTCAAGGCCATGGAGGGAATCATAGAGTTACGGAGGATCAGCTGACCAAAAAATAATTTTTGGATGATATTGAAGTAAAAAAGGAGTTCTAATATGGGAAGCTAGAAACTGAAAAGTAGGTAAATGAACATATGAAGGAAGAAGAACATTTTAAGAATGAGAGAACAAAGTGGACTAGAGTATGAGGAGAAGCCTATAGAAGTCAAAACATCTAAAAGAAAAGAAAGTTTGTAGAATTTGTCAAGAAGGAGATAAAGAGCATTAGGATAATAATTTAATAAAATGTTGAAGTATAATTGGGGCAAAGATTAAGGATGGAGAAAATAATGGGAAACACAGGAGTTTTACTAGAAGTGCATTTGAGTCTATTTATCTGTGTGATGCAGCAAAGTTAAGAACTTTCATATGTGTACCTGACATGGTATCCAAGCATTGGCTGAGCAATGAATATCTGACAAATTCGAAGGAAACATACTTAATATTGTTTTTAATTTTTCATCCAGATTCAAAGGTAATTTTTCATTTTCAGTTGAGTTGTAAAAATTGCAGACACATGTTCTTCAAAGCATTGATGAAAAACTAAATTTTAAAAAAAGTACCTTTCATTACAAATAGCCACAAAATAAAAACTCAAGGTAAGTAAAAAAAATACAAATACGTCATTGTCAAAGAGGATCTTAATTTAGCAAGGAAACTCTATCTTCTAGAGTGCATTTCAATGAAACGTCCCTAATTTCCATATTATAAAATTGCTCCCAGCTTTATTGAAGTATAATTAATAAATACAAATTATATACATTATAGATGTACAACTTGATAATCTGATATACATATACATCCTGAAGTGATTACCACAATGGAGCTGATTAATACATCCATCACTTCACATAGTTTTTATGTGTGTGTGTGTGTGTGTGTGTATGGAGAATACTTAAGATCTACAAAGTTAGCAAATTTTAAATATACAATAAAGCATTTTTTACTATAATCACCATGCTGTGTATCTTAGATCCCTAGAACTTATTCATCTTATAACAGAAAGTTTGTGCCTTTTGACTAATATTTCCCCATTCTCTCCAAATCCTAGTTTCAACCACCATTCTACTCTCTGCTTCTGTCAATTGCACTTTTTCTATACTTCAAGTATAAGGGAAATCATGATGTGTTTGTCCTTCTCTGTTTGGCTTATTTCAATTAGCATAATGTCCTGTTGATCGCCATTCATAGGTGAATACAGTAATGTTAATTATCACCTGTCTCAAATTTAGCTATGGCAAGGAGACTCCCATAAGCCTTAATACTTCTACTTTTACTAAGATATTTTACAATTAATATTTTTAAAAAGAAAAAAAAAACAAGCAAAAATAGATTTCACCACATTATGTTTGTTAAATGGAATAATCTTGCTTCAATAAATATAGCTTGTTTTTAAATAGGGAACCCATTATGTAAATATCATATTTACTGAGGTTCAGAGGACAAAATATATTTTAAAACTGAAAGTTAATAGTTTTATGAGCAGGAAAAAATTTTTAATTTAACATTCACTTCATATGCTGACATTTATACAATGTTTACTAATGATTTGAATGAACAAAGTAGTCATTATTTTACATTTTAAATATATTATAAAAATGTTACACTTAAATGATTACTGATTACATATTTAAAGGTAATTATATTTTACATATTACATGAAATATAAGTATATTTTATTACTCTGAAGGGATAATAAAGTAAAACATATGTATAAAGAAACTAACAAAGATTTTAACTAATACTTGAAAAAATGAATATTCGTATTGAGAGACAATATCTGTAATTACAGTTTATTTTTCTTATAATTTATTTTCTTTAACTGATCTTTTCAACATTACCCATTATTAAATGAAAAAATATAGTCTCAGAGGGAAGAATACAAATTAATTGCAGTGTCTTTTATTGTATTTTTATTGGTTTAGCATTTTACAGTGTATTTTATATGAATTTATGTTTAAAAATTGATACAGCAGGACAATTGTAGAATCAAATAAAACTTTTTGAGATAAATTATATTAACTTTTAAAAGAATAGAAAACAGACCACAAAGACAAATGTTTTTATGAGTCTGCATAAGAACATTTGTTATATTTATTAGACTGATATAACTCACACATGTTTTCCTTCTCTGCTCACTCAAGCCATTTTTGAATCTGCTGGGAGTCTGCTCCGCTTTTCACAAAAGCCCAATAAAGACAGCAATAAAACTTTTTATACCCTCTTGCTGCATGTGTGGCAATATCAGGCTGAACATCCAAACCAAATTTTGGTTTGAGGCATCCATCTCATAGTCATCACTATGAGATTCTTTATGGCAGTTTTATGTGCAGTTTTATGTGTCTTTTGACCCCGTTGGCTGCTACGTAAGAATGGGCCTTGAGCCTGGAACACCATCTTACCAAGAGATAAAGTATCCACATGGCAGGTACCAGGCTTATCGCCTGTGTGGAAATATCTTTCTGTTTCTGATTCTGTGAGTGTTCCCTTTTTCTGCTTAAGCATATTCATCAATGGCTCTCAGGTACTCCCTCAGGCCTGGTCATAGTCCTTTCCCCACCCCAAAAGATGGGTGCACGTTGGCACACTGCTCTGAGTTAGCTGCCAAGGAATACCCACTAGCCATCGGGAACCAACTCACACCGCTGAAGTTGATCTTGCTCCGTGTCTTCTCTATGTAAGGAAAGCATTGTTCCACCTGGTGCTGAACCGTGTCGTGTTTCCCCTGGTGACTCCAACACCAAGATGCAAAAGGCAAACGTGTTTGGAGTTTTCATCTGGGATTGAAAACAATGCCTGGTGTTCTGCTGGACAATAATTGGTTATAAAAGTATAACTTTATAATAATATTTACTTATTCACTCAGTTTTACAAGATTCTGGTCATTAAAAAAAACTCAAAAGAGAAATGTAGCCACCTAGCACAGAAATCTGAATGCAACTCAACTTAGTTTATTCTTATGGCCCCATGAATACGGTGACTGGATCAGGTTATTTTTTTAAGTTGATAAAACTTTCTGCTGAAACTATGTCAGGGAACATTTTATAGTAAATGCAATGCTTAATAAAAATCTACAGATTCTAACACTTGGAGCATTTAAACTTAGGATATTTGTCAACATCATTTAATGCTTAATGTATTTCAAAACACATCAGAAATAAAATTCTGTTAGGACCTTCTCTGAGGAGAAATGCTTAGTTCATGTGAGGAGCTGCCCTTACAGCTTAGCTTTCACTCTGTAAACTGAATGCACTTTTGTTTCTCCCTCCATCTAAATGCCAGTCCTTTTTTAGGTCCAAAGCAGAATTTCAGAACAAGACCTAAAGAGGAGCAATAAGAGGCTAGTGAAGTTAAGGAGAACCAACAGCAATTATCCTTGGAGTTTTTTTTTATTGTTTATATGAGAATAATTATTTGACCATTTAGAGTAATTAGATAGTCATCAGGGAATCTCTCTACTCAAGACAAGTTAGTTAAGGTATAATTACAAGCATTATATTGTCTGGAGCTGTGTGACTCTGGGTAGGAGGTACTGCAATTCACATCTGTCACTCTGACACATCTGAATCCAGCCCATGCCAAGGAGCCAAGTCCCAGAACTCAACTCAGTTTGTTTGAATTCTCTCATAAAATTATAAATTTGGATCATATACAATTGCCATTTTGCAGATAAAAAAGTTAAAAATTAGCCTTTTAAGAAAATAGATCATTAATATCTTTCATTTTGATGGAATAAAAGTAATTAACATCTTTTAGGTGCCATCTGCTTCAATGGCATTATTATATTTTTAACTCTGCAGAGCAGGTCTGTGTTACTAGAATAATTTTTGGGTATTAATAAAGTATGTGTATAGCAAATAGTCCTATAAACAATAACTTTATTTTTATAAATCAAAATTCTCTCAATTTATTAAAATTTTGTAATGTTCACAGGGAAATTTAGGGAGAGTGGATGTTTTTATAGATATTTATTTGTTTGAATTCTAAATACTCATAAGCAGCCAATTAATGCTAAATATAATTTCCTCAATGATGTTATTGAATATTTTTCTTGTTGGAACTATATATCAGAAAATTACTTCTGGATTACATGTCTGTAAAATCACTTTTAGAGCAGCTATAAATATAGCATGGTGTCATAAGAAATAAGTGAATTCATATTTAGAAAATCTCAATATTTTGTGGCAGGTTAAAAAAAATGAGATTTAAAATGCTGTCAAACTAACTTTAAAATTACAGAATAATCATGCAATTTTGGGCTTGGAACCAGGCAGATATATATTTGAAGTAAAGTTTATCTTATGAATATCTTATCATAGTCACAAAAATATTAGAAGGCACAACAAATAATAATTTACTACTATTGCAAACCTTTTAAAAGTGTTTCCTATTAGGTTATGTTCTTTAGGGAATGCTTTTAATGATTATTGGACTACATATAAAATATTAAAATTTTCTACATGTTGATATGTAGATAATAATTTCAATCAAATTACAATGACATTATGTTTGTATGTCTTCTTTTGAGAAGTATCTATTCATGTTATTTGCCCATTTTTAATGGAGTTATTTGATTTTTCTTATTAAAGTCATACAATCAAGAAATATTTTTAAATGCTCATTACTAATCATCAAAGAAATGCAAATTAAAACCACGATGAGATTCCATCTCACTAAAATCAGAATGGCTGTTACTAAAAAGTCAAAAAACAACAGATGCTGGTGAGGCTTTGCAGAAAAGGGAACACTTATACACTGTTGGAAGAAATGTAGATTAGTTCAGTCACTGTGGAAAGCAGGTTGGGGATTTCTCAGATAACTTAAAACAGAGCTACCATTTGACCCAGCAATCCCATTACTGGTATACACATAAAGGAAAATAAATCATTCTGCCAAAAAGACACAGGCATTTGTAGGTTTATTGTTGCAGTATTAGCAATAGTAAATACATGGAATCAATCTTAGGTGCCTATCAATGGAAGGTTGGATCAAGAAAATGTGGTCATATGTACCATGTAATACTAAACAGCCATAAAATTGGAAATTATGTCCATTGCAGCAACATGGATGGAGCTGAAGGCCACAATCCTAAATTAACACAGGAACAGAAAACAAAATACTGCATGTCCTCACTTAAAAGTGGGAGCTTAACATTGAGCACACATGTACCTAAACATGGGAACAATAGACACTGTGGACTACTAGAGGAGGGAGAGAGTCAGGCCTGGGTTGAAAAATTACCTGTTGGGTACTATGCTCCTTACTTCGGTGCAATATACCCATGTAGCAAACCCGCACATGTACCCTCTATATCTAAAATGAAAGTGAAAGTAAAAATCATAATAATACTACTAAAATGACATTACATGATAAATATGGGAAAAAACCAAGACTGTTCTTGAATTTACCCTTCCATGCTATTTGAAGGCAAGAGGGAGCCAGTAGTAAAACAGCTTCTCTATTTCACTCTCCACTTTTTTGTTTCTTTCTTTAAACTTTTATATATTTAAGGGGCACAAGTGCAGGTTTCTTACTCTTCACTCATCTTTACGGACATGTCTTTTTATATTTGACCTTGCCAATAAATAATCTACTTATTGTTATTAGAAAAATAAAAATCAGTTTAAGAAAATATCACCTGCACTCTCGATATATTTGTTTGGTGGCATATTGGTTTTAATACTTGCATCAAGCATTTCCCTTTTATAATTGTTTGGGCAAGTAAGGTTTATTTTTATGCTGTTTCTATGCATATGTGAACCGCTCTAGTTAGTCAGACTCTGAGGTAGAAATACAGTGAGCATCAAGTAGAATTTACTTGATACTCCAAGATATTAACCGCAAAGAAATGAAATCAAATGTTCTTGCATTTGTATTCATGTAAATGTTCATTGCGGCTTTATTCTTAATAATTAAAAAGTAAAAACCATGCAAATATCTAATAACTGTTGAATTAATAAATAGATTGTGGTATATCCATACAATAAAATACCATTA
Source organism: Homo sapiens (assembly GCF_000001405.40). Lineage (NCBI taxonomy): Eukaryota > Metazoa > Chordata > Mammalia > Primates > Hominidae > Homo > Homo sapiens. The sequence continues at coordinate 67,362,200 of NC_000006.12, forward strand.
ACATTTAAAGAACTGTTGCTATACACACAACATGGAGGAATTTCAGTGTAAGTATGCTGAGAGAAAAATTTCAAAAAAGTGTGCATAGCATATATTTCTATTTAATAAAATTCAATCTGATTACCTTAATGAGTTTGGTAGAAGAAAAATTCTACAACCTGAAAACTCATATGTATAGTGATAGTATACCAATGGTTGCCTGTAGAGAGGGTATGAGAATAGGGGCAAGAGGGGCGGGAGAAAGGGATTACAAAAGAGCTTGAGAAAACTTTTTGAGGTAATGGTTATAATCATTATCTTGATTGTGGTGACAGTTTGAGTACACAGATAATGTATAGATATGATGATAAATTAAATATATAAACATATTTAATGTGTGTGAAGCATGAATTTATATGCAGCTTATTGAATGTCAGTCATGCCTCAATAAAGTCATTATGTAAACATTAAATCTATAATAAGATCGTTTTCCCTATCTCATTAGCAAAGTTGTATAGCATGTTAACCAATTGATGAGGTCTTGGGAAAATAAAGCCATAATATTTTTGTAACTGTGTGTATTCTTACAAAACCTATAGAGTTCAAATTTGCTATATATTTCACATATATAAATTTCCACTTACAGTATTTGTCTAACAGTAAATTACAGTAACAGGATATTAAAATGAGACTCTTTCTCAGGCTTGACTGAGTTTTCAAAGAACAAGAACACTACATTTCTCACCAGGTAACCCCATATTCTCAAACTAAATCTACCCGTATAGGGAAATCCATGGGATGATAAAAATCTGTTGAGCCAACATTAACCTCACTCACCTTGTGAACACAAGAGTTGAGGTAGAAAGGTTCAGACAGGACTGTCAAGTTGGTGTTTGTGCGTGGTGAAAAGAGCTGATGGTTTTCTTTTCGTCTTAAGTAAGTTGAGTGGGAAGTCAAGGGAACCACATAAACCATACTGACATGTGTCCACTTCCATTGTGGGCGTGAAGGATGTGATGTATATATCTGTGAGACAAAAGTTCTGAGGTATGAGTTAATGTCTGGCTAGATGTTTTGCAATAGAAAGGTAACTAGCTCTTAAAGGGACAAGATGCACTTTATCTTAGAGCAGAGCTAGGACTTACAGGAATTTCTGTGACCCTAGGAAAGACGAGCGTAAAAAGGAACCTGAAAGCAATAGAGGAAGAAAGAAAACCAGCATTGGAAAGTCTTCCCATTAAGGAAAATTTCCATTAATATTTTCATATACATGACCCATGTTATAGATTTATAGGAACTCGCTATGAAGTAAATATTTAGCATTTCTGTAGGCTTGTAGTTAGAGAAACATGGTGCGGTTTTGAGTCACAAAAAAGAACATAATGACTTTCATTTATCTGAAGCAACGTACTTAAATAGGAATACACCTACTCAAAAACACGCAAATATAACCATAGACACACGGAATACACGCAGGGCAATCCAAGAAAAACCACCTAAAATCAGAGAGCTGACTCTGTTTTTTATTTCCTCAAACTCATTTTTTTTTTTTCTAAAATGGAGTCTCCCACTATCGCCCAGGCTACAATGCAGTGGCAAGATCTCGGCTCACAGCAACCTCCGCCTCCCTGGTTCAAGCCATTCTCCTTCCTCAGCCTCCCGAGTAGCTGGAATTACAGGCGTGCGCTGCCACTCCTGGCTAATTTTTGTATTTTTAATAGAGACAGGGTTTCACTATGGTGGCCAGGATGGTCTCAAATTCCTGACCTCAAGTGATCTGCCGCCTCGGCCTCTCAAAGTGCTGAAATTACAGGCATGAGCCACTGCACCCGACCTCCTCAAACTCATTTTTAAAGAAATCCTTTTATTTTTACTTCCTTCCAGTTTCTTTCAGTTTGTTCTCTATCAAAGGATATATGCTGATGCTATAATCTTCGTAAATAGGCAAATAAGCAAACCTGATTTTTCACCTCAAGAATGAAGTAATGCTTTCATTTGTTATTTGGCAAAAATCTTTAGAAAAAGCAACTTTCTTTCTTGTCAAGTTTTAACTGTTTTTTTAAATTTTTCCAAATTACTCATTGGGGCCAATGGTTGGTGCTATTCTCTACATCATAGGTGGCTTTGATTTCCTCTTTCTCTTGTTCTGTTTATTTGTGATGCTAACATGAAAGATATCACAACCACAGTTTTAGTTGTCTACAGGATATAGGAGGGACACTCAATGAGTCGATGTAGTTTAGAGTTTAGGGATATATAAAATTGTAGCAAATTTATGTTTCTTATTATTTGGGTAGCAAGAAGTTAGAGGATAACTGCATTCTCTCTTTATGTATTCTAACAATTCACTAAGAATCATTCTTGACATACCTTGTGATTTAATTAACACCATGTTCAAAGCATGTGAAGGCTGAACATTACAGCTATTTACAATGTACTTGTGGGATACCCAAAACTATTTTATTGTTCCCTAATAACATCTTCAACATCCTCCTTGTTTATTGTCCTTATTGCAATTCATATAGATGATTTCCATTGATTTCTCAGGAAAATGCAAGCGTTAGTCGAACTGATATTCTTGTATATTTGTTGAAATAAGGAAAATTTCCTTAACTTGAACCTATCTGCTTCATATATACCAGTAAGTACTTAAACTGTCCACCTTGATGATGCTATCTTCTGGCTTTTCAATCCTGGTACAAATTTCATTTTATTTCCACTTAATTTTAGCCATCTCAATGGGATTAAAGTAGTGAGATGTCAAGGCAGGGTCTCAAATTTTCATTTTGTAAGTCTTCTAGCTGTCTCCTCTGAACATTTTTCAAACACTAAAATATCTATAAAAGGAAAACTCAGAAAATTGATAAAACCATATAAGACTAAAGAACATCACTAATATTTACTCTCTGGGTAGAACACAGGCAAAAATCTAGAGTACTGGTTTTAAATTAAACATTTTAAAGTTAGTTGACACAATTTAGCCTCTGAAAAACAAATCATATTTAAATGAATGTGTTTATATATAATATATGATATATGTATTATAAATATGTGTGTATATATGTATATATGAGAGACAGAGAGAGCTTCTATCTTATTTGATAATAATCTATTTCCCGATTTAAAAAGCATATTTAAATATAAGCCTAGTTTATATATTTAATTATGTTAAATAAAGCTCTAGGAAAATGCTACTAATATAGAGTAGCAATAATATTTTAATTACTAATAAAATAATTGATATCAAGATATCTTTAATAAAATTAATGAAGGTTTATAGACTATGAAGCAAAAGCCAAAACAAATGAAGAACTCCATAAAAATAAGAACTAATAAGATTTGTTCATTGAACAGTCATCAATATTAATTGAGTGCTTACTAGATTTCATAATGGTGTTTTATTGACCCAATATTGGATAACATACTACTCTAAAATCAGACATACTTTCTGTGTGAGAGCATGTATGATAAATAAATAGAAATACAACTTAGGGGAATAAAGAAATATGGTAAAACAAAACACAAAAGTATTAAAGATACACTTAAAATATTGAGGTGATAATTCATAAAACATCTATATTCATCCAAAAATATATTTAAGAACTTTTGGAGAGCAATATTTATACTACTTAAATTTTACACGTATAAAAGATTGGAAAAACAAACTCTCAATACTAAATGCTTACAACATTTAATTTCACGGGATATTGTTACAAAAGTGTTAAGTGAAAATATCAGAAAACCAAATACCTTACAACACATATGTCAGTTTTGTTAAATTAAGGAAGTATAACAAGAAGTTAATTCTTGTTACCTATGATTGGCAATTTGATAGATTAGTGTCTGCAAATATTTTTATTTTACAATTAGTGTCTGCAAATATTTTTATTTTGAAATTTCTAAAATAAATACATTTTAAAAATTTAACTAAATAGACAGGTAATATGTGAATGCTTTCTTTATCATATGAGAATCTATGTGAATAAAGCACTGAAACTAAGATTATATTGTAATCTCCTTAGGTCTCATTATTTGTTTTAAATCATCAGTTTCAGAAAATGATATAATAGTGTGTGTGGGTCGGGGAAGATGTGCTAGTCCTTTCTCACGCTGCTATAAAGATACTATCTGACACTAGGAAATTTATAAAAGAAAGAGGTTTAATTGACTCATAATTCCACGTAGTTGAGGAGGCCTCAGGAAACTTTCAGTCATAGTGGAAGTGGAAGAAGCATACACCTTCTTTACAAGGCAGCAGGAGAGAGGGTTGCGGGGAAGTGCCACACTTTTAAACCATTGGATCTCTTGAGAATTCACTCACTATCATGAAAACAGCATGGCAAAAACTGTTCCTATGATCCAATCACCTCCCACCAGGTCACTCCCTTGACTTGTGGGGATTACAATTTGAGATGAGATTTAGGTGGGGACACAGCCAAACCAACCATAACAGGAGGGTATACAGAAGATGTTTATGCATAAGTTTTTTGGGGTATATAAGTCTATTTTATTTATAAATTAATATGCTCTATATTTTAATGGTCCATTAAAGTGTTTTTTTTAGCTACTTGATGTTTATATTTAAAGTGGGCTGAGTAATGAATTGCTGTATAATTGGAAGGAGGTTTGAAATTGTTCTCAAAAGTAGCTCCTGATTCTCACAGAAACCAAAGCACATATGTTTTATAGTTAACCAGGTAACTCTCTAAACCTAGACCTGAGAGATGTATAGCAGAAAGCAAAATTAAATGTTTTATATACCCAAAACATACATTATCTATCCATCATTTATTTACTATCTGTGTATATATTGAGTACTGTCTGTGTATCAATCTACTGTGTATCTATCTCTGTAGTTTCATCTATTTACCATCTATCCATAACAGCTTTAATATATCAGATGTATAAACAAATTGTTTAAAGAGGGTATGTTTATATTTGTAAATGTGACTACATATGTCTACCTAGCCCATAGAAGATCTCCTGTATAATATATTGTTTCTATAAAAGTGCAACATTCTTTGATAAACTTTCAAAATGTTTTATATTGTTTTATATTGCTAAATAAATATCTATTCATGTAGCTCCTGAGTAAGATGAGAATTCTTCATTTTTCCATGAGATATGCAGATAAGGAAATTCTATCTGCATAGAAGGCAAGTGACAACGTCTCAACCAACTTTTTTATTTTCTCCCTAAGCATTACTCATTGACCTTCCACACACCCTCCATCCTCAGTCCCCACCCCTGCAATCCTGTCCAGCTAGGACATGCTGGTGTGGGGTCTCTCAGGCAGCATTCAATAAGCCTTTATAAAGAGAAATTAAACTCTCATCTTGTATGTATGTATGCATATATCTATTATTATCTGTCTATCTATCTATCATCTATATCTATCTGTCTATAGAACTATACTGGTTATATAAATATCACATTTACTGAAATGCTTGCAAGTGCATGTAGATATGTACATATATTTTAAAATAACTATTTTAAATAGTATCTTGTTATATTCACATTTTAAAATGTAGCAAAGATAAAGTTAATAGCTGATATGTACTGGAAGTAAATTGATAAATTATTTATAATCCCAGTTTATTAAATTTTGTATTCAAAGTCATTTTGACAATATTATTATGGTATCATTATATACGAACAATGACTTAAAAAATAATGAAACTGATATTAATGAAATGCCATTGCATATGTTCTTAGAAGATTTAATATCATATTTGTGCTTTAACATTTTTGCAAGAAAAAGGTAAAAGAACGAGAACCTGGTATTAGGGTGTATACTCTGATATTGACTAAGCTTTATATTGCTCTGTTTATCCATCTATAAAATAGGAAACATGATATGTTCTATTTGCAGCACTAGAATGTTAATGAAGTTTAGTGAATCAATATATCGGTCAATTACTCCGGGGAAACAATTTGGTTGTGAAGAATCACTGCAGAATACAACTTAGAGATATATGATGTAGAACAGGCCTTATCGAGAATAGAGTATGTTTCAGTGAGCTTGTAAATTGCCCCATTAGGTACTAGATTTTTACTTTTTCCAGTTTATTGACACTAAATAATCTTCAAAAGTGGACAGGGGACATTTGTCAATGTCTATTTGTATCTTGCAGTTGCAACTAAATAGGCATAGTGAATGCATCAACTGGGCATTTCATATGTGTGAGCCCATGTGATGGTATATAGGATACTGGGAAGAGTTGGGCCATTTGTGATGAATTCAATTGAATTTATTCCACACAAATGGACTACGAATAGCTGAAGGTACCCTACCTCCCATACCCCAACCCATAGAGTAAGCCTGAATCAACTGTTTTCAAAATATGATGTAACAATTACTCTTCATATGTTTTATGTGAATGTGACAATTTGCAATAGATGAAAGCAACTATGCCTTATAAACACCATTGTTTTCTCCTTTAATGGGCAAGGATTTTTTAAAGCATTTTGATACCTTTATTCTCCTCCTGCAAGCTGTAATTAGTCTCTGCAAAACTTTATAGGAATTGTTTCAAGGTTTTGTTAACTTTTTTTTAAATTTTATGAACCATTTGCTGATCATAGAACAATAATTTGTAAATGATTTTCTTAAAATGAGCAAGTCAAATGAGTAAATAAGAAAATCTCTAATATTTCTGGCCAGGTGCAGTGGGTCACATCTGTAATCCCAGCAAATTGTGAGGCTGAGGCAGGACAATTACTTGAGCCCAGGAATTCGAGACCAGCCTGGAAAACATAGTGAGACCCCCATCTCTCCAAAAAAAAAAAAAAAAAATAGCCAGGCGAGGTGATGTTTGCTCCCATAGTCCTAGCTCTTCTAGAAGTTAACGTAGGAGGATCACTTAAGCCCAGGAACTCCAAAATTCTAGACTGTAGTGAGCTGTGATTGCACCACTGCTCTCCAGCCTGGGCAACAGAGCAAGACCCTGTCTCAAAAACAAAGAATGAAAAAATAAAATAAAATACCAATATTTATTTTTGAAAAATCATTTAAGTTCAGGGTACAAGTGTACTTTTGTTACATATTTAAACTTGTGTCATGGGGGATTGTTGTAGAGATTATTTCATCAACCAGCTATAAAACCTAGTATCCATTAGTTGTTTTTTCTGATCCTCTCCTTTCTTCTACCATCCAGCCTCCAATAGGCCCCAGTGCGTGTTGTTCCCCTCTATGTGTTCTCATCATTTAGATCCCACTTGTAAGTGAGAAGATGTGATATTTGGTTTTCTGTTCCTTTCTTATTTTTCTAAGGATAATGGCTTCTATGAGTGTGGTTAGAGCAATCAATTTTGAATAAAAAGGCCACTTAGGCTTCTCTCCTGTGCTACTTTAGTATTTTTTTTTTATTAATGAGTAGTCCATAAGCAGATTTATCAGAATATGCTTTTTGCAGGTTCATTACTGTCACATACTTAATGAATAGATATCTAGACATATAAGATACTTAATCTTACCTTGAAAGACCTTCCTTAAGAAATGTCAACCTTATTCCCCAGTTTGTGCTGAAGATTATGCCTTAGTAGGCATATAACTGAAAGAGTCCAAATCTGACTTCTCCTGCCAGAATTCTTTTCTGGAGCTGGACTCTTGTTTTATAACAGGAGTTGGTGGTTGATAGTCCCTTTGCTGACAGGAGATAAAATATGAGACCAAAAGCTTTGCCACTTCTGAGTACACTTAGATAACATGCACAATATCCATCTTTCCCCAAGGAAACAAGCACTGGCAGCTGATATGATCCGATCTTCTGCTTTATTCCTGTAAAGAGATAAAACAATCCTAACATTTCTGCATGAACTAACAAGCTTTCTCTCTGCCTTTCACATCCCATTGCCTGACTTAATGGTCATAAACTGGAATACTGTCAGTTAGTTTGTGTAATTCTACACTATTTATCTTTAGAACTTGACATTTTACATAAATATATCTATTTATGTTACAAATAAATATTTCAGTAAAATATTTTCTGATTTTAAAAATGTGTATCATATCACTTAAATTGCACATACCATTACTCGTAGTTCAAATCCATATAATTAAATGCAAAGTCCTGATGGTTGTCATGATGCATACCTGCTAAATTCCAGGAATTTGGCATATCAAAACTATTTTTAAGATCCAGGCTGATAGAGATATAATGCTTATATGCTGATGCATTTGTTACTTGAAAATGTGTTAATTAGATGGCAGAACCACGAGTAAATCAAAACTCTAGATTGCAGTCATTTAAGTAAGGGTCAGCAATGGGTCTAAATATTTCATTTTTGCATTTTTTTCTGTTAATAATTCAGCTGGAATTAATATTATGCAAGAATTCTTTTACAAGTAGTAATGTAGTTTAGTTTATATTATCCTCTTGAGCATTTTACTCCCAAGTAACCTACTGATCATAGTCACCTTGTGGAACTGATTTCCAGATAATATATTGTATAGAAATAACTGTCCTCGCCAGTAGAAAACTGAAAATATCTTATTATAATTTATTAATCTCCATTTATGAAATAAGTGGCATCACATAAACCATAGCAGAAAAAAAAATTTAACCCTTCAATGGTAATTTCTAGATGCTATACTTAGGCTTTTTAATCACTCTTGCTTGATTTGGCTATGTTGAACATACAATTTTTTTAAAGTCTTGCTTGTTATAATGTATATACAGTTAAGTTTACCTCTTTCAGGTATGATATTCTATGAATTTTGGAAAACAGTTAAAGTCATACAATTGCCATCACAATCAAAATACAAATTAGTTCCAACACTCCAAAGTTTGCTAGTGACCCTTCATAGTAAATCCTATGACTTGAACTCTGACCTGGTGATCACTGATCTACTTTCTATCCCTGCAGTTTCACTGTTCTAGAAGACCATACAAATAAAATTAAAAACATACAGCCTTTGTAGTTTGTCTGTCTTAAAAGAGCATAATGCATTTGTGATTCATCCAAATATCAGTAGTTTTTTCCTTTGAATTGCTGAGTGGTATCTCAATGTGTGAATGCATACCCATTGGTTTATCCATTTACTTGTTCAAGAGAATTTGAAATGTCACAAGTCTTTGGTATTTATTAATAAAACCACTATAAATGTCCAAATATAAGACTGTGCATGGACATACACATCATACATATTTGGTTAATACTTACAAGAGTCATATTGCTAAAGTGTAAAGACTTATTTAATTTTTTATTCAAAACAAAGCCCAATCTTTACTTCATACCTTAAACATGAGATACAAGACAAATAGAACATATAAATAAATGAAAGAAAATATACAAAAATATTTTATGATCTTTGAATTGGAAGAATTCCTAAATATAACTGTCACTGGAGAAACCACAAATAATGGATTTACAGGTATGATATTTAACTTTTTAATAAATTGACAAACTACTTTCCAAAGTGGTTATACCATGTCAGTTTTTACCAGCAATGATAAGAGCTACAATTTTTTCTCATTCTAAACAGCACTTCGCATTTTAGGTTTTCTGGATTTTTTTTGGAGTTGTTGTTTAATTTAATGACTCTAATAAGTATGTAAAAGTAAATTAACGAGGTTTTAATGAACATTTTTATAGGGATCAATAATGGTGAGCATTAGTTCCTGTGCTTATATGCCATCTATATATCTTCTTTGGTGAAATGTCTATTCAAATGGTTTGCAACCTTTAAATTTTTTTTAATTCTCATAACTGAGTTGTAAACATATCTGTATGTATGTGTACAGTTATTCTTATTATATACAAATTACAATATAAAGAAGTGTTTTGTGTGCATTTTCTTCTTGTCTCTGGTTTCTTTTTTCATATGCTTCACCATAGTTTAAAGAGCAGAATTTTTAAATGTTGAAATCTAAACTATCATTTTTTTTGTTTGTTTTATGATTCATGCTTATTTCATTTTATCTAAGAAATATTTATCTATCCCAAGATCACAAATATTCTCTCTCATATTTTTTCTAAACATTTTGTGGGTTTAAGTTTTACATTCAGGTCTATCATCTACTTTGAATGAATTTTGGTGCACATATATTAAGAAGTTATGTATTCAGGCTATTATTTTGGGGGAGGAGGACATATGGATATACAAATATTTTACTACTACTGCTGAAAAGCCAACTTTTCTCCTTTTAATACATTTTCTCCTTGTTCTAGCTCCTTTGTTGAAAGTGAATTGACCTTATATATGTGAGTCTGTTTCTGGACTCTGTTCTGTACTATTAAACTACATGCTTATACTTTCTGAAATACAATTTTGTTCACTGTAGCTATGAAGTGTGTCATAAAAGCATGTGGTCTGTAAGGGTAGACTAGGGCTATCTATTCCTACAACAAAAAATCCTGCTAGAATTTCGAATGGGATTATATATCTGTAAATCAATTTGGAGAAAATTGTTATTTAACAATATTAAATTTTGTGATACATGAAACCGGTGTATCTCTAGCATTTACTTAGTTCATTTTTGATGTTTTTTCTCATCAATGTTTTAGAATTTCAAGCATGAAAATTCTGTACATATTTTGTTATAATTATACGTAAGTATTCCATATAGTTAGTACTATTATAAATGGTAATTATAGTTTTAATTGAAAAATATTTGAAAAAATAAAACATATTTTGTATATGAATTTTGTATCTTGAAACTCTATAAATACAATTTTTATTAATAGATTTTTTAATAGATTTTTTCAGGGATTTCTATACAGACAACCATATCTTCTGAGAATAAAGGTGGGTTTATGTCCTATTGTACCATCTGTATGCTTTCTATTTCTTTTATTCTTTTTTTGCTTTGGCACTGTGTAAAAACTCTATACAATGTTAAACAGATGTGGTAAAAGTGGATATACTTGACTTTTTCTGGCTTGATTTTTCAAGCAATATATTGTATCGAAATAACTGCCATCCCCAGTAGAAAAACTGGAAATATCTTACAATTTGAAAATCTATGTGTATGTAACACGTGGTATCACATAAACCTTAACATAACCCTTCAATGCTAATTTCCAGATACTATAATTTACCTTTTTAATCATTCTTGCTTGATTTGGCTATGTTGTACATACTATTTTTTTTAAGTCAGGCTTGTTTTCATGTATATACTTCTTGCTGTTAGCTGAATAGCGTTTATCATTTTATCATTAAGCATGATAGAATAACATAAGATGCAGGATTATCTTAGATATCCTTTACCAGATTGTGACACTTCACTTTGATTCTTAATTTGCCTAGAGAATCTTTTTATATGTACCCTAAATTTTGTCAAATGCTTCCTTTGCATCTGTTAAGATAATTATATGTGTTTCTTTAGTCTGTTGATATGGTTAAATAGTTTCCTTTTTGAATGTTTAACCATACATTTCCAGAATGAAGCCCATTTAATCTTAATCATCATGTATCATATTTTTAGTATATTAGTGAATTTAACTTTCTAATATTTCATTGTGTATGGCTGAACATACATTCATAAAATAATGGTATTACATATAGTTCTCTCTCTCTCACTCTGTCTCGCTGTCTCTCTCTTTCTCTCTGATTTTTGTACGAGAGTGATGCTGGCCTCATAAAATGAGTGTTCTCTCCTCTTCTACTTTCTGCAACAGTTCGTGTGTAATTGTTTCAATTTATTCCTTGAGTATTTGACCGAATTCACCACTGAAGCCAATTGGCCATAAAGTTTTCTTTGCGGGAATATTGTAAACTAACAATTCAGTTTTTAAAATAAATATATTACTATTAAGATTATTTATTTTTCAGTGAGATTTGCTCATTTTGTCTTTCAAGGGATCTGTTCACTTTTTTGAAGTTGTCTAATTTATTGGTGTAAAGTTAGGCATAAATATTTCTCCTTCTTTTAATATTCATAATGTTTATAGTGATGTCCTCTCTTTATCACCGATGCTGGTAATTTGTCTTCTTTTTTCTTCCTTATCAATCTAGTTATATGTTTATCAGTATTAATGTTTTTATGTATACGTTTTTGGTTGCATTGCTTTTCTCTATTGTTTTTCTGTTTTCAAATTCATTGATTTCACTCTTAGTTTTATTTCTTTCCTTTTGTTTGTTTTGGTTTTAATTTGCTCTATTTTTCTAGTTTCTTAAAATTTTAGCTATTGATTCACAACCTTCTTTCTATTCTAATATAAGCTTTTAATGTTATAAATTTCATTTTAAGTGTTGTTTTACTTGTGGAGCCACAACTTTGGGTATGTTGCGCTTTCATTTTAATGCAAGCTATTTTCTAATTTTCACAGTGAGTCCATTCTTGACTCAAAGGCTATTTAGAGATTTCTTTTGAGAGACATAGTGCATTCTCTTTCATTCTGGGCCTACCTACCTAATTATTCCTCAGCTTCAGTAGTGCAGTTTTCTCAGCATTACTGTCCCCCTTTGTCATGAAAGATAAATTCTGCCTTGTAACAATGGTGAGTCTTGTGCAAGTGAAATTTCCTGCCACTCTCCAAGAGGGAGGAGACCTCTAATGGTAATAGATAGGCTCTCAAGGGGTCAGTACTGTTTCCTACTCCATCCTAGGTTTAGAGGATTATTCCTTCCTATTCTCGCAACAAAATGCGTCTTTACCTGAGCCGTGGGTGTGACATGTGCCCTTTATTCGGTTGATTAAGGGCTTAGAGCCATTAGAGAAGATTCTGAACATGGAATTAGGGATTCATGCCTTTTCATCATTAATTTCTGCTTTGTCTCAATTGCCGATGTATCATCTTTCTAGTGTGTCTCCTCGGCACTCTGCAGAGGTCATGGAAAAGAACCTCGTAGTGACTGGGCTCTTGTGTCTGTTCCCTGCCATACCCCTAGGTGACTTTCATACTAGCCCACAATCTGCTTATACCAGTTTGTTAAAATGTTAACTAATTTTTATTTACCTGCTTGTATGGCAGTGGAATATCTTCCTATATTCATCAAAAGTATGACAGTGTGCATGTGTCATCTCTCTTTGAGAAGAGGGAGTCTCTCTTTTTATTTTTTTAAAAGCTTAATTAGAATGAAACCACAGCTCTTTGATGGTTTGAAGAAAACTTATGCTTTTGTCATTTATTCAAGCTATACTGATTGTTAAGGAGAGAGTGATGCTCTGTCTAAAATTTTACATGCTAGGCAGAAGATACTATTATCATTATTATCATCAACTTTCAAATTTACATGGCACATAATCCAAATTAACAATTTGTGATATGGCTATCTTTTCTTTATTTTTCCAAATGCTAAGAATTATTGTGAACTCAATATGAAATTTAAATAAAGAACAACTAGATTATTATTTTGTTTAACTTCAAATAACATTCTAACTCTGGTTAATATTTCTTACTTATTCATCAAAATTGTGAAGATTTATTGAACCAGAAAATATTATTTAATACACTAAAATTATTAAATAAGTTAAAATTTTATATTTTAAATATTGTCCATTTGATTTTCTTTTTCATTTATTCAATAAATCTTAATGTATTAACAAAAATATTACTTCTAAATACAGAAAGAATAATTAAAGGATTTTTTTATTATTATTATACTTTAAGTTTTAGGGTACATGTGCACCACATGCAGGTTTGTTACATATGTATACATGTGCCATGTTGGTTTGCTGCACCCATTAACTCGTCATTTTGCATTAGGTATATCTCCTAATGTTATCCCTCCCCACTCCCCCCACCCCACAACAGGCCCTGGTGTGTGATGTTCCCCTACCTGTGTCCATGTGTTCTCATTGATCAATTCCCACCTATGAGTGAGAACATGCGGTGTTTGGTTTTTTGTCCTTGCGATAGTTTGCTGAGAATGATGGTTTCCAATTTCATCCATGTCCCTACAAAGGACATGAACTCATCCTTTTTTATGGCTGCATAGTATTCCATGGTGTATATGTACCACATTTTCTTAATCCAGTCCATCATTGTTGGACGTTGCTATTGTGAATAGTGCCGCAATAAACATACGTGTTCATGTCTCTTTATGGCAGCATGATTTATAATCCTTTGGGTGTATACCCAGTAATGGGATGGCTGGGTCAAGTGGTATTTCTAGTTCTAGATCCCTGAGGGATCGCCACACCGACCTCCACAATGGTTGAACTAGTTTACAGTCCCACCAACAGTGTAAAAGTGTTCTTATTTCTCCACATCCTCTCCAGCACCTGTTGTTTCCTGACTTTTTAATGATCGCCATTCTAACTGGTGTGAGATGATGGTATCTCACTGCGGTTTTGATTTGCATTTCTCTGATGGCCAGTGCCCTCGGAAATAATGCCGCATATCTACAACTATCTGATCTTTGACAAACCTGACAAAAAGAAGAAATGGGGAAAGGATTCCCTATTTAATAAATGGTGCTGGGAAAACAGGCTAGCCATATGTAGAAAGTTGAAATTAAAGGATTATTTATAACATATTGCATAATAAATTGTTTCACATTGAGAGGGTATTGAAAAAACAACAGATACTTCTAACTAAAAAATAGGACCTGTTTTTATTACTAGTAATTATGGTCTGTGAACCACAATCCATAGATTAAAACCCTGACTTTATTTTGCACAGCTTTCAGCTGGAAATGATTTTTACATTTACAATATTATAAAACTAAAAAACAAAACAAAGAAGAACATGAGGCAAAGACTGTACGAAGCCCTTTACAAAACAATTGCCGACCCCTTATATAAAAAGAAATACTTCTCTGAGCTATATAGTTGTTAATGTTATTACTCAAAATTTATAACGTATATGAACATTAACAAGCATTTTCAGGATATCTAGCATAAAGGTTAGGAGGGCAAGAACTGGATTAAAATTGTCTGAATAAAAATCTTTCTACCATTTATTTGTTGATTGGTTTTCTAAAATGGTTTAGCTGTCATTTGCTATAATTTTCTCATCCGCGCAATGAGGTGAATAATATTAATGCCTCATTATTTAATTGTAAAAATTAATGAATTATTGTAGATAAAGCATTTGGCATTAGTTCCTAGCAATATTAAGTGTTAAATATGTATTTAATAAATTAAGGGAGAAAACAAATTTTAAATTTTAGCAGTGACAAAAATGTGCAGCATAGAAAAATTAATCACAAAAATAGAGATAAAAAGAACCATATATTAATAGTATATATTTAAGAAAACATATCAATTACTTATATACTGCTTTACCACTTTTGCAGTAATGAAAATTACATGAGGCCAGAGATTCTTATCACATATTTTTACTTCCAAGTGTAGTGCCCAACAAACAGAAGATGTTTAATATACTTGTGTTTTTAAATAAAATTATAGAAATTTGATAGTCATATATAAATACTAATAGAAATATACACATATATAAATATTAATATATATACACATACATAAATATACATGTATATGTAAAATGAAACTTTGATAAATAGATTAAATAAAAGACTTCAGTATTAGGAGTGTTTTAAACCTGAAAAGGTGAGTTAAATAGAAAAAGAAATAGTATAACTATGCCTGGCAGGAAAAAAAAGTCCATAGATCACCACATCATGCATTATGGCTTAGGTACCGACTTTTAGTAGTTCTGGCATAGGAAACAATAAGGATGCAAGTGTGAAATAAGACTGATAATGTCAGTAGTGTAGACTATGTAGTTTTATGAGACATATTAAATATGTTTGGTCTTGATCAATACTTAGTGATAAGTTGATGGGGAAATTTCGTTGGTCAAAAAGATGTGTCACTTTGGGAGGAGATACCTAAAAATTGTATACATCACTATATATATATATACTTTGAAATTTGTCAGATTAATTTTTATGGAACTGATATCAATTTTGAAATCACTTCCAAATTGTATTGTGTTTGGGTCATAAAAATAGATGACTTCATATATCTGAGAAAATTCATTATCTAAAACTCATGTTCTCTGATAACAATAATAAAGTTTAGAAAACTGATTAGCAAGTAAGATATTGAAATCTAATTTTCTAGCATGCATTTTGTTCTGGAGACAATTTAGATGATTGAGTTATATGTTTCATAGAACTAGTTCCTTACCTTTGCTGGAAATAAAGTCTTTTACCCTTTGGAGATTAGAGGTCTATGATTTTAAATTTTTTATTATGGTCAAGATAGATCTGGTTTATAGGAGTAAAGGATAAACATTTAATTCTTTGCGGGGGAAAAATCAGTGAGCTTCCTTCAATAAACCTTTGTGAGGGACCTAAATGAGAACTTAAATGAGAGAAGGGTGTGGTAATTGCTTTTAATGTGTGCCAAATTGAGGAGTAGGCACATTAACTAAAACTATGTTTTTGGAAAAAGGCCACTGAGTAGAAAGGAGGCTATGGTTAATAGTCAATGGCAACAGTAACTGAACAGGTTCCCCGGAAGACTCTGCATATTAGCCTATTCCCTTTGCTAGTCTCTGAGACTGCCTGTGACATTCTCATGTTTCATTTCTGGGGTTTGTAAAATAAAAAGAAATCATTCTGGAACTAAAATTCAGGAGAACATTTTCTATACAACATTGCAGTCAGTCTGAACTAAAAAGTCAATTTGCTTTTGCAATTTCATTTATTAAATATTAAAAGAAAATTGTCTGCAATTAGAAGGGTTTTTATTCCTCAAGAGAAAACACTATTGAATACATGTGATAAAAGCATTAATGTAACATGTCTCTTGAATTTGATTAGGGTTTGATATTTTTGTCCACTTTGGGAGATTATTTTAGCCTGCTATGATTTTGGCATGCAAAGGTAAATAATTTCAGAACATTTTCTTCCCTTTTCCTTCTGTTTCCCCTTTTCTTCACATCCTCCTTCCCTGTTCCCTTTCTTCCTTTTCTCTCTTCTTTTCTTTTTTTTGTTTTGCATGCTCATGCAAACATCTAATATCTTGTTAGTTTCAAATGTCTTATGTGACAGCGGGATTAATACAGATAGGCGGAATAAGAATGAGCCTCAGACAATTTTTTTTTTTTACGTGTCTGGCCTAGTTTTTCAATGTCATGTCAAATAGTATTTTGTGGTTGTTCAATAGAATGATGAAAATTTGATGAAACTTTAAAGTGGTAATGTTTATCAAACATAAAAGATGAGATAAAGACATGTACAAATACATTTACCAAAAAGGTAATTTAAAAATAGAAAGTCAGAAAATACAGCCACTGTGGAAAAATGTATGGAGGTTCCTAAAAAAATAAAAAATGGAAGTGCCATTTGATCCAATAATTCCACTATGGGGTATATATCTAAAAGAAAGGAAATCACCAGATTCCTTTCAGGTCAGTTCTGCTGGTGCTGGCCTTGAGCTCATGGTGATAGTGGTGCAACCTTGAAACTGACCAAATCCATTTCATTTTAAGGACGATCAAAATACTAGGAAGCTTTTGTACAAACCCCAAAATGTAAATAAAATATACTGTGGAGGCAGATAATATCTAACTTGTTTATTATATATTGCAATTAAATCCTGTTTATAGAATGCAAATATTATAGCAGAAAATGCCCAAAATTATTTAAGAATTTTACGATAAGTTAATATCACCTGTTGTCTTAGTCTGTTCTCATGCTGCTATGAAGAAATAACCAAGTCTGGGTAATTTATAAAGGAAAGAAGTTTAATTGACTCACAGTTCAGTATGGCCCGGGAGGCCTCAGGAAGCTTCCAATCATGGCAGAAGGCAAAGGGGAAGCAAGGCACCTTCTTCATAGGGCGGCAGGATGTAGTGAGTGCAGGCAAGGGAAATGCCAGGTGTTTATAAAACCATCAGATCTCCTGAGACTCGCTCACTCTCAGGAGAACAGCATGGGGGAAACCACCCCCGTGAACTGATGACACGCCCTTGTCATATGGGGATTATGGCGATTACAATTCAATATGAGATTTTGGGTGGGGACACAGCCAAACCATAATATCTGACATCTATCTTTTAATTTTCCACAGGTAATTTTATACACAAAGAGTAGTTATTGTTTAAGATAAGTCTCTTCCTTTAATTCAATATTAAGGAATCTGTTGTGATTCCTGTCTGTGTTTATTTCCCTCTGAGAGAGAGGGAGGAAGAAGGAAGATTGGAAGGGATGGGGTTGGGGACAGAAGCAATGATTTGCTGATAAACTGACTAAAATAAAAGCAATCTAATTTGTAAAAAAGAAAAAAATAAAATCAGTATATCGAAGAGAGAGTATCTGAGCTCTCATGTTTATTGCAGAACTATTAACAATAGCCAAGATATGAAATCAACTTAGGTACCCATCAACAAATGAATGGAAAAGTTTCGTATACACACACGCACACACACAAACACACACACACACACACACACACAATATTATTCTACCACTTAAAAAAATGAAATCTTGTTATTTGCAACAACATAGTTGAAATTGGAGGACATTAATTTAAATGAAATAAGCCAGGTACAGAAAGAGAAATGTTATATGTTCTCACTCATTTGTGGTAGCTAAAAAAAATATTTGATCTCATGAAGGTAGTGAATACAATGGTGGTTACTAGAGGCTGGGAAGTATAATGGGGAGGGAATAATAGGATAAAGGATAATTAGAAGGAATAAGATCTAGTGTCTGGTAGCACAGTAGGGTCAATTTAATTAAAAACAATTTATCACATATTTCAAAATATCTTGAAAAATCAATTTGGAACATTCCCAACACAAAGTAATGATACATGCTTGAAGGATGGATATCCCAATTACCCAGATTTGATCATTACATATTGGATGCTTGTATCAAAATACACATGTACCCCATAAATATTTACGATTAATATATGTCCATAAAAGTTAAAAATAATAAAATAAAATAAAAAATAAAGACAGAAGAAAAGAAAAATAAAGGAAAGAAGGAAGGAAGAAAGAGAGGAAGGAAAGAAGGAAGGAAGGAAAAGAAAGAAAAAACACAATCCATGCAATAGCTGGGAGAATGAGGTGTTTATTAGCAGTCAAACATTTTGGTTTGTTTATTTGGTGAAGTGATTCACAATGTTAATAATCTTAAAATTAAAAATACTAACAAAATTTAAAATATTAGTTTATTTGGAAAATGTGAATCTAATAATGAGTGAAAGTAATTTATAATTTTCATTAATAAATTATTTTCCATTTTCTGTTAATTAATGTTGTATGGATCAGAGTCTAGATTTTTACTATCTAATGCCAATCGAATTTTCTACTGACAAGCTCTAGTAATTCCTCCTATAAGTAATAGAAATATTATTGCTGTATATTGAGTAAGTAGTAAGTAAGTAGTCTAATGGACAATGC
This sequence comes from Homo sapiens, assembly GCF_000001405.40. NCBI lineage: Eukaryota > Metazoa > Chordata > Mammalia > Primates > Hominidae > Homo > Homo sapiens. Next base: position 67,381,448 of record NC_000006.12, read on the forward strand.
TGTCTTTGAAGTGCTTTAGCTGATGATTCTTATTCAGTTCATCTAATTGAAAATTACAGCTTTTTATTTCATATATTGCTATATAGTTTGGGCAGAGATTTTTCAGCCATATCCTTGTAACTTTTTTTCATCATTTCTATTTTAGAGAAAAATTCTCTGAATTATTTAGTTAATAGTTCACAGATATGAAACTAGCCCATACTGCTTGTAAACCAGATGCTATTCCCACTTTATTGTCTTATAGGTCACAACAGTTGAGCACCATTTCGTGAGAACATTCTCAGAAGATAATACAATTCATTTTTCTCTATGTATTTGAAATCCCTACTTGTAGTTAGATAATACATATTTTGAAAATTGTTTAGCAATGACAAGCTCGGATGGAGTGGCTTAGGTTGAAGGTAGGTGCTGAAACTTCTCTTGTCATATAGTATTAAGAGTAATAATTATTGCTCGCAATATCAGTATATGTAGAACAAGCTACACTCATAACTGCTTGTTTAATATCTTTTTTCTGTTACTCAATTAACAATTTTTTTTTAAATTTTTTAACATGAAAGAAAGTTTATTAAGAAGGTAAAGAAATAAAAGAATGGCTACTCCATAGACGGAGCAGCCAATAAATAATATTTCTTAAATAAACAGAGAAAATATTTTTAAAAAAGGAATTAATGAACAAAATGTCTAAATAAAGAATAAAAATATAAATAATAAAAACAATATCCCAGATATTTAAGCAAAATCCATTATTAATAAGACATGATTTAAACTACACTTAAAATAGTCTATCATAATAAGACTGAAGTTTATTATATAGGAAATACTTAAAGTTCTATTTATGATTCCTGCACTTTGGGAGTTTTGGTCTAAAAATTTCAGCTAGAGGGTGATTTGTCTCTTAATTATCAATTTGTACATATGACAGAGCATGAGGATGTTAATGATTGCACAACATGAATTAATTGGTTTCTATGATTTCTAAGATTTGAGACTTCCCAAGTATTCTGACCCAGAACTCAAAAGATGAAGCCCAGTGTTTAGTAATTCTAACTTTGAAGAGTCTCCTAACGTTGAAGAAAAATTAGCTTTGGTTTTATAAATTGCACATTTGTTTATTTACAGACTACCTTAAAAAAGATAATGAAAATTTGACTATCTACTGAATTTAACTCACTCAACTCTTATTGAAAATAATGAGTCTTTAACAAGTTTATGACATTTTAAGCCCGTTGTAAATTCAAAAATCATGAAAAATTGATGAGAGTCCTCAGATAATAAAATATAATTTTTAATATTTTTCATAAATTAAACTGTATCACCAATAATTTATCAACTATCATGAATAATTATAATTATATTCATATTATAAGTTCATATGCTTCTAAATACTTGATTTTAACTTCCCAACTACATCTATAGCCTGAAGTACTGACATTTGATAGCATTTTCTATAAAGTTACACAAAATATGTTTCAGTTGCACAAGAGATTGTTGAATAGTGAATGTTTAGAAATAAAATATTCAGAAATAATAAGTGTCAAAAATATAACATTGATAACAGAATATTTGAAACAATTACCTTAAAGTATACTCACTGCATTTTGATGAGAAATAAATTTTTTTAAAGAAATAAGGGTAATGATGTTAACTTATATTTAAACTCTGGTTAGCGTATGAAAAGGAGTATTGGTATTTCTTCAGAAATATCAGAAGAAAAACAAACAAATTTATAGATTATGAGTGAATAGAGCTTAAAGAGAACTATGAGATATTCAACAAATATGTAACCTTTTCTCTTTGTTTGCAAGAAATAAGGAGTATATTCATTGCAATAATAAAGTTGTGTCTAACTCCACCCCCAAAACTCACACATACATGCATAAATACATCTCATTTACTTAGTGACCTGGCAAATGAAGGTGATTATAGGGGAAGAGCCCATTTAAGGTGTTTGAATGCATCAGAGGGCAAATTGTAGAGATAGAACATAATAATAATTTATAATAATTATTATAATTAGGAATAATAAGTAATAATAATAAATTCCTTTTGTTTCACCATGTTTTCAAGATTCACTCACATATGAGTTCCCACTCATTTGTATGCTGAAAAAAAATTTTTAAAAAGATAACAGTCAATGTATCTCTTCCCAAAATTCATTCATTAGCACCATGCAATATATTTTGAGATCTGTGTGCTCTATCTTTAATTGGTAAGGTTATATTTTTTATCAATGAACATTTGCTTTCTTATTTTTACATAACTACAGAAGACAGATTATACTTTTAATTTTAAGTAATTTAATAGCAACATAGTTTGGGATGAACTAATTTTCTCCTTAAGTATAAACATCCTGACTGCCTAGAGAAACTCTGTATAAGCATGTACATTTATGTTTTCCAATTGCATTTTCCATCTTTAATTCATGTTCATATTGTACATGAATTAAAATTATATTTCTACATATATAATGAATTTATTCAATTTTTCAAGAAAGATTTTCTTCAAACTATGTATTTTTTATGGATTTCCAAAATTTGAGACCATATTAAAATATCTGAATGCATTTTAACATTTTCTAGCAAATCAGTGTTTTAGATTTTATAAAAATTCAGAATGATTATTAAATTATGAAAAAGATATAAATATAGTAACATAATAGGAATTATAGTTTGATTAGATAAATTTTGAAGGGGAAATTAAAACCTATTTCCATGAATGCCAGGAATGCTTCATGAATAAATGCAGTCCTTCGTTTTAAAAGCAGAAACAAAAAGGATAGTTACATTTATTTTATTTTAAATAATGATTAATATGGTGAAACAAATTGCATTATTTTTAATAGAATCACAGTGGTCTTGGACAATCCAACTACAAACCCTAAATGGATCCAGAGACACAAAACTGAAGAGATAGTATGTGTTCTCTTTCTTCCCCCTTCAAATTCTACCAAAATGCAACTACCACAGTCCGACTCAGCTAACACTGAGGGTCTATACATATTTGATGTTTCTTTTGTGAATTTCAAATTAAAAAATCAATATTCCTCTGTTATTTCATTTCAGAGGCTTGATAGAGATAATGTGGTAATATACAGTTGAATAGAAAATACTCTATATGTGTCAAATAGACTCAGGATTTCAGCACTAGAATAGCTTTGGGCATTCCTTTTGTGTTGCTTCTCAAAAAATGCCTGCCTCTTGTAGTCCTCTTAGCTATATCACACAGTTATATTTAATCAACACTTGTTAGTGTGGCAATACAGAATGCACTAGTTGGGGTAGGGTTCTGTGTTCTTTTCTGTAATTCAGTTTTATTCATGCATTATGAACCCTATCTTAGGAATGTGGCCTTCACAAGTGCCACCGACCCGCCAACAAGTAATGCTATGACAAATACTTATTCTAGCTCTTGCCCCATGGGAAGAGCTTCAAAGTTTTTCTTATTTTTCCTTCACCAGCTGCAGTGGGTTTCCCACTACATATTCAGGTGGTGGATTTTATATCTTTGCTCCTGCTAACTAAAGCTTTTGTAACACATGCAAGGTAGAGAATTTCAATGACATTTTTTCCCTTTTCCATGCCACCACGCTGCAATGGAATTTGACTAGTGCCCTCTGGGATACGATTTTAATGACCTTTTCCCCACATAGAGTGTGTGGGCGTGTGTGTGTGTGTGTGTGTGTGTGTCTGTGTGTCTGTGTGTATTTCTGTAGTGAAGGTAGTAGAGATGAGTTGGGACAAAGTTTGACAGTGGCTGCCATCCCCATTTCCCTATCAGCAGCAGAGAGTGGGATACGCCTTCACTGTATTCTTTACACGATAAACTTTTTAAAAATTTGTGTATTCCCAGAAGAGTAGACAGCAAGTGTGTGGGTAACTCTCTGTATCTGTGGTCCTTAGGGACTTCACACAGGCCAGTCCATATTCAGTCCTCAGCATCCCTTTAAATTTCTCCAGTTTTATTTCCCTTTCTGCTTATGCGGTGTTGAGCAGCAGCATCCCCAGGTAGATATATGTTCAGATCCCATTTCTCCCTGAAAACATCTGTCACTATAAAATTTTGGTTTGATACTTTGTCCTGTGACCCCAATTTTGTAATGTGTTCATGCGAAGTTATTTTACAGTCATTCAATTTATTTATTTTTCCTATTTTCTGGATTAGAATGAAACTTTACATAGCACTCAGGACTCTTGTGCTAAAACTAGAAGTCTACTTGATGATTTTAAAATTATACTTCCATAATTACGTCTTCTATGAAATAAAGATATTTTGTATACATTTTATTATGTTTAATCAGTGACTCAATTCCAATATTTTTTCTATTCATATTGTTTATTTTGGTTTTAAGTCAATTTGTTCCTGTCTAATGACAGACAAATTTTATTTTGATATACTATATTTTGTAGAACGTATTTGTCACAGTATCATAGGCTCTGGCTGATGTTATATTCTGAAGAGAATTTAATTTTTCAATGTGGTTGTCAGAGCATGACCTGATCACCGAAACTTTGTCTTGGAATGAGCTGTTTGAAGTTGAGTTGCAGGCAAGTATGTGTGCTCATATATTTTATCATTGCTAGTGCAAAGCCTCAATAATATTTCACTTTTAGGTTCCTACCTGGGGTGTATGGGAGAGAACTCATACCTGCATTGGCCCTATACTCATTTATTCTCTCCCAAACCGTGTGAAGATAAAGAAAAACTCACTGGAAGAATAGCCACGTGCCAACTCTTTCAATTAATCTTGTAGTTTCAAAGCCCCTATATCTAATATTGTTAAATTTCCTGATGGAATAAACACGAGAAAAAGCTGGACTCATCTCAGTATCCTTCCTTTTTCTTCAAACCTTGGATACTAGATGTCATGCGCTCTTGGCATTTCCCAGATGCTTTCTTAGAGATTTTTTTTAATCTTGATGTTGACAGTGCAAGGATGCTTCCACTAAGAACTGCTTTGCCATTGCTCTAAGCAATGTTTAAAGTTGGATATAGAAATGTTTGATGCTATTGTTTCATTTATTTTTAAGCCTCTTCTCAAACATCACATTCTTTTTTTCATTTTACAAAACTTTTTTTACATACACAGTGAATCTTTTATTTTGGGGGCTCATTGTAAATATTTCTATGATACAACTTAATAAACTACTTTAGGTTAAATTGTTTGCATGTCTTGTGTTCTACTGATTATAAAGCTTATAGAGGAATTAGAATTATCATTAAATACAGAATTCATCACTTTGCACAACTCTGTTAGGCACAAATAAATTACCACAATTTAGTTAAATAACACCGGCCCCCAAAACACAGTTCAAATTTCCTTTATAGTGGTGTATATTTTTACAGATCTACTGAGGCATAATGGACAAATAAAACTTGTATACATTTAAGGTATATAAAGTAATGTTTTGATATACATATATATTGTGAAATAATTACCATGAGCAAGCTTATTAACACATCCACCACCACACGTAGTAATGTTTTTGTGTGTGTACTGAGAATACTTAAAATCTACTCTAGTACCAAATTTCAAGTACTGCACTCCCAAGGTATCTGCAGGGAATTGTTTCCAGGATTCCAGGGATACCAAAATCTGCAGATGCTCAAGTCCCACACTTGGCCCTGCAGAACTTGCAGACACAGAAATCCTAACACAAATACTGCATTGTCCATCTGTACCTGGTGGAATCAGTGGATGCGGAACTTGTGTACATGGAGTGCCAACTGTATTCAATACAATATTATTAACTATAGCCATTGTGCTGTACATTAGGTTGTCAGAACTTATTCATCTTATAACTGGAAATTTGCTCCCTTTTACCAATCTGTTTCTATTTTCCCACCCACCAACTTCTTCTGGGTCATTACTCTTCTATTCTGTGGCTCTCTGAGTTCAACATTTTCAGAATCTACACGTAATTAAGATCATGGAGTATTTGTCTACTATGTCTGTCTTATTCCACATAGCATAATGTCCTTCATATTCATTTATGTTTTCACAAAAGGCAAAGTTTCCTTACTTTTAAAAGTTGAATAATATTTCATTATATCAATTTTGTATCTGTTAAACCATTGACAGACACGTAGGTTGTTTCCATATCTTAGTTATAAAAAATAATGCTGCAATGAATATGGGGTTATAGATAATTCTTTAAGATATTGATAATATTTTGTTTGCATATATACCTATAAGTAGTAGTATTGGATCATATGGTAGTTATATTTTTAAATTTTTATAGAAATAATAGTTTCCAATAATAAAATTTTATGACAATAAATGCCTACATGAAGAAAGGGAAAAATCAACATAGGAACATAATTTTACACTTTGTAAAACAATAATAAACCAGGGTCAAAGTTAGCAGAAGAAAACAACAATGAATGTTAGAGAAGAAATTAATAACAAGAGACTTGAGGCTGGGCGCAGTGGTTCATGACTGTAATCCCAGCATTTTGGAAGGCCAAGGTGGGCGGATCACAAGGTCACGAGTTCTAGACCAGCCTGGACAACATGGTGAAACCCCATCTCTACTAAAAATACAAAAAAAAAAAAAAAAAAAGAGAGGCTAGAAAAACAAGATAAAAGACTAACAAAACTTACAGTTTGGGTTATGGAAAGATAAATAAAATTAGCAAACCTTTAGGTAGGCTAACAAAAAGAGAGAAGTCTTTTAAATAAGTAAAATGTGAAATGAAAGATAATGTGTTAAAACTGGTAGCGCAGAAACACAAAGAATTGTGAGAGACTATTATAAAAGATTGTACACCAGTGAACTGGATAACCTTGAAGAAATGAATAAATTCCTGGAAACATACAATCTGCGAGGACCAAATCATGAAGAAATAGAAAATTTGAGCACATCAATAATGAGAAAGGAGACTGAGTCAGTAATGAAAATCTCTCATCAAAAAGAAGGCCAGCCCTGATGGCTTCACTGATGAATTCTACCAAAAATTTAAAGAATAATTACAATAGATCATTTCTCAATTTTTCTAAAAATATGAAGAGGAGTGAACACTTCTGAGCTCATTTCATGAGGCCAGTGTTATCCTGACACCAAAGCCAGGAAGAACACTACAAGGAAACAAAATCACAGGCTAATATCTTTAATGAACATATACAAAAATCCTCAACAAAATACGCACAAACCAAATTCAGCAGGACCTTAGAAAGATCATACACCATGATTAAGTGTGGTGTATCCCTTGGATGGAAGGATGGTTCAACATTTGTAAATCAGTAAGTATGATACATCACATTAACAGAATGAAGAATCAAAATTATATGATCATAGTATGTTATCTATGATTAATCCCATAAAACATGGACTTTGTTGCTAGACCTTAAGTCTAAATAGCACTACGTAAATAGCATATGTCTCTCATTATCCATGATTATTTATGTTCTATCCATTTTTTTTTGAAGAATGATCACTGTAAGTCTAACATTCAGTTCATATACCTACAGCAAAGCATGTAGTTGCATTGACTCTCTGACTCCTAGTGATAAACTTATGTGACACTTTATAGAAATGGGGTAGCAAAAGAAGAAGCTGACCAACAAAGATGAAAGTATAGCAAAGAAATAAATGTGACAATTCTGGTAGTGAAATTGAATGTGATTAGAAGATTTGTAAATGGCAACAACAAAGCAAATATAGGAATTGACCCTGGCCTTCATGAAGTTAAGATATAGACTGAGTTGAAAAATTATTATAAATATAAAACACAGGACAAAGGTGCTTCAACTTCTGAAAACTACATTAGGAACAGAAACCCGTTTATGGTTGAAATGAAATATTTATTTCTATTTTGGATTAAATATTTCCATTAAAAAAGGAAATACAATTCCAATCTCTTTGTAAAAATCTTGCCCAAAACATTGGGGTTAGCTACCACACTGAAAGAATATGGTAATTACAAAGAGACTGTGGAAAATCTTTACTATGAATAAAAATTGATCTCATAATGTTGGAAGATGGAGTGCACTGCACTGATTAATTTTAAGGTATCTGGTGAAGTTACCACTCCAGATAAAGATATTGATGTAAAATTTGCAATCAGCTTCCAAGGATTTGTTAAGACAGCTGTTTGTGACTAAAGGATGACAATTTCTCAGAGGAAGTGACAAGGGACAAATATTTACATTAAAGGAACTCTCAGATATATTGCCTGATGTAGACACTGCAAAGGACAAAATGCTGAGAGCTAATATAAATGTAGAGAAGACTCCAATTCACCAGCCAAGGCATAGAAACGAATCTCTCTCTCTATAGAAACTTATGCAATTAAAAGAAGACAAACAATGTTTAAACTATTTTTGTTTAAACAAATAAATATTGCTTAAATAATGTTTAGGCTATTTTTCTGAGGACTCTGGAAAAATGTTTACAAACAAATAAAATATTTAATTCTAAATGTTTATTTTTAAATTATTGTGAAATACATACTAGTTTTACTCTATTTTTTCATTGTCTTATAAATTCAAAAGTAATATAATTGTTAACGTTTTCAAAATTTTTAAAGTTTACAGAAAAATAAATTTTTTCAATTGATTATTAATATCACTTGCACAGTTTTAGCTTTTTATACTGCATTACTGTGCAAAGGAGAAAAGCAAACCATGTTATTAGTAATATTGCCTAAAGAATTAAATGAATAGACAAATGCATTACTATTACCTTTCTAGCTATCAAAAAATAGTAAAAGTATGATATTTGATCTCAAACGAATTTTAGTGTTGAGTACATACACATTTTTTTTTTCTTTTCAGTGTTACAAATTCTTTGGAAATGTGAACAATTTTTCTGTTGTTAAACTTGTCTTGAGATGACATACCTGATGTGAAAGATGTGAAATACAACCCCCTCCCATTTTTCAAAATAATTTGAAGCTAAAACTTTAAATTTTTACGTCTTAAATATAATAACATACATAATAATAAAGTACAAAAATTAATTATGCTAAAATAATGTAGAGATTTAAAAATATTTATACCTGATGATGCTTTAATATGTATGGTTTATACATATATACATCCATTACATATACATATAATTAAGAAGTCTTCAAAATTTTATTATCTTTATTTGAGTCCTCCCAATAATAAATCATTGAACAAAGAATAATTTAGGATGTAGAAATGATGTTTGGTTCCTAGAATATACTATAATCACCCTGCCAGATTACTGCTTGCTTTACCATGTACTGATGAAAGTATCTCTATTGTTATTTTTTTAGTTCAGGAAATTATTACGAGATATAATATTTTCAAAATTGATTTGAATTTTTGAATGATTTTTAGTTTTAGTAAAGAATAATTTCCTAAGGAAGAAAGTTGTGAAATCAAGACAGATCATGATTAAATAAAGTTCAATTTTGAGAAGACTGATATATAATTTAATGAGAAAGTTTAAATGTTTACATAGAACATTTCTATTTTCTGGAAGAAATAACTTTGTTTCTAAGATAAAAATAAGGAAATATGTATTTTAGAAAATTAGATATGAAACTATTACTAATTATAAAATAGTTTGTAAACACATTAATAACATGGCATATTGCTCACTCCTGCTTCTATGTCAAAGTGAACAGAAACAGACTTTAAATGATGGTGGAGAAGGAGGACGGATATGTGGGTGATGGAAAAACAAAGCAGGTTTTTATTTCCTTTTGCTTAGTTGCTTTGACATGGTAAGTAAGTTAACTGGCATTTTAGAATCTCTGTTCATTAGGAATATATTTCTAAGTTTTATCTCCAATCTTCAATAAAATAGCAGTATTACAGGATTTAATGATTATTTTAAAAACATATATACACAGATACAATAGAGAAATGAAACAACTTGAGTGGTTGTCAAGATACGCTATTTTTCTGAGGACTCTGATTTTATCAGTTCTCCAGAATGCATAAGCACAAAAATCTCAAGGAGAAAAAGACATTTTATCCACATCAAGCTACAGAGTTGAACATTGAGGGGGCAACATTTGTAATAAAATGACTCACTTCACAATATAACATTTTGGCTACAGTGATTTTAATACATATTCTTCATTTATGACCTATGACACCTAACAGTCCTTCCTGGATAAACGCCTAGGCACTGGAAGGGCCTTCTGTCCTCTGCAGGCCTCTGCACATCCAGCCTTTTTGTTTTTTCACAGCCTGCCTTGTGATTTCACTTCATACTGAAAAAAAAAATTTTTTTTGAAAAGAAAACAACAGACAAACACGAATCAAGGCTTACAAACAAACAAAAGAAGTAACAACAACAAACTCTCTGCCTTCTGCTGCTTGAAGCAAATTCAGGGGTCTATTACTGAGTGTATCCGTACTAAATTAGGCTTTCCCCTGCTTTAGTACAATGGTACACAGTCTGAGTTGAAAATAAAGGTTACTCCTAATTTAGACAATGTTATATTTTGAATCTCAACATCATTTGCATTTCTTCATTGTACATAGGTTACTCCTATACCAATAATAAAGTAGAACGGTTCATATTTAAGAAGATTAACTTCATGTTTTGCAGTTATAATACATTTCAATAAAATAGAGAACAAAATAATTTTTCAAGGACATGGGTACTTGAGAGATTGCAAAACACTTGAGTTCACCAAAAAATCTAAACACTTCTGCATGAAATTCTAAGCTATAAAATCTGATCCTGCTCTTTTTTTCCTATTATCTGACAGAGAGATCTCGACTACCATTATTGCTCAACCCTGTGATGGTTGCTTTCTCTTAGCATGGGTTCCTTTCCCAAAGCTTTCCCAAACTTCTCATGCATTTTGGTACAACGTGGTAATGTGTCTGCATGCTAGTAATGTGCTATTTCCTGACATTTGTGGTAGCTAAATACAGAAATATTTATCTTATTAAAATGCATAGCTCTGTACATTCATTTTGTGCATTTGCTTATATTCAAATTTTAAAAATACATTAACATTGTCATAAAATTTGCTTGTATTTAGTAGTATCATGCTAAAAATGGTCTAGAATAGAAATAATTACTTAAATGAACTTTGAATGATTGAAAGGTTTTACAAACTCTATTTACAATGTAAGGCTACTGATTGGAGGATCTTGACTTGTGCTCACACTGTGCACAATAAAAATATTAATGATTGTATTTTGTAGATAGGATAATATGAGATGTGTTATCTTCGATAGTTGCTGGTAAATAATCCTCAGTATATAAGTGGAAAGGATGTTAAATATGCATTGATATATGAACTTTAACTATGGACTATTTTATTGATTTTGCATTTCTTTTAAGTACATTTTTATATACCCATTTCTTGTAGCAATAAAATTTGTATACTGTTTCTCTAATTTTTAGTAATCTACACTATTTCCTTCAATAAAATAAGTGGTATTTACATAATTTAAAATATTAAAATTAAAGCTTATGTTTTTTAAAATAAGAAGTGATGTACACTGTGCTATAATGCCTTTTATACATTGTTTAAAAGCCTCACATTTTTGTATTTTCTTAAAAAATATATTTTATTTTAGTTTGTCTTTATGGCAAGATAGTGAGATATGGAACTAAACTTTATATTATTTCTTTTCTAGAATGCACTGCACCTATCACTGGTAGTTTTAAAATCTTCTATTTTTGTACAGTCTTGTAAGATAGACTCTAGGGTCTGAGTACTTTGTAAGGAATGTACTGTGAGTGAACAAAACAAAACAAACCACTCAAACAACCAAAAAAACCCTGGTGTTTTTATCACCAAATGATTTTATTTTTAAATAATATTTTAAATAAATTAAATGCATTTGAAACCCTTCCGTTCACTATTACAGTGTACTCATATTTCTAACGTTGACTTGAGGTGTCACTAAGAAAGCTCTGATGTCATATTTAGATTTTCCCGTTACTTTTCTACTTTTTATTTCATAAAGTTTAAAGTTACATGTTTGCATGTTAATCTACTAGAATATGCAACATAAATATTAGGCAATAATCAGAAAAACAGGCCAAAGACATTCTCTTCTTAATCTGATATAGTTTGGCTGTGCCCCCAGCTAAATCTCATCTTGAATTCCCATGTGTTGTGAGAGAGACCTGGTGGGAGGTAATTGAATCATGGGGTCAGGCCTTTCCAGTGTCATTCTCATGATAGTAAGTCTCATGAGATCTGATGATTAGTATAAGGGGGAGTTTTCCTGCACAAGCTCTCTTCTCTCGTCTGCTGCCATGTGAGCCATGCCTTTCACCTTCTGCCATGATTCTGAGAATTCCCCAGCCACATGGAACTGTGAGTTCTCCATTAAACCTCTTTCCTTGGTAAATTGTCCAGTCTCAGGGATGTCTTTATCAGCAGCAAAAAAAACAGACTAATACACTAAATTTGTACCAGTAGAGTGGGGCACTGCTGAAAAGACAACTGAAAATGGGGAAGCATCTTTGGAACTGGGTAACAGGCAGAGGTTGGAACAGTTTGGAAGGCTCAGTAGAAGACAGGAAAATGTGGGAAAATTTGGAACTCCTTAGAGACTTATTGAATGGCTCTGACAAAAATGCTGATAATGATATGAACAATGAAATGCAGGTTGAGGTGGTCTCAAATGGAGATGAGGAACTTGTTGAGAACTGGAGCAAGGGTGACTCTTGTTATGTCTTAGCAAAGAGACTTGTGGCATTTTGCCCCTGCCCTAGAGATTTGTGGAACTTTAAACTTGAGAGAGATGATTTAGGGTATCTGGTGGAAGAAATGTCTAAGCAGCAAAGCATTCAAGATGTAACTTGGGTGCTATTAAAGACATTCAGTTTTACAAGGGGAGCAGAGTATAAAAGTTAAGAAAATTTGCAGCCTGACAATGCAATAGAAAATAAAATCCCATTTTCTGAGGAGAAATTGAAGCCAGCTGCAGAAATTTGACTCAGTAATGAGGAGCCAAATGTTATTCTCCAAAATAATGGGGAAAATGTCGCCAGGGTATGTCAGAGGTTTTCAGGCAGCTCCTCCCATCACAGGCCTGGAGGTCTAGGAGGAATAAATGATTTCGTGGGCCAGGCCAGGTTCCCAGTGCTGTGTGCAGTATAGGGACTTGGTTCTCTTGTCCCAGCTGCTCCAGTTGTGACTAAACAAGGGCCAAGGTATAGCTCAGACTGTGGCTTCAGAGTGTGCAAGCCCCAAGCTTTAGCAGCTTCCCCATGGTGTTGAGCCTGTAGATGCATTAGACAGCATAGACATGCATAGACAGCCCCACAGTATGACACTAGAAAACCATTATTTTATGACATCACATAGGAAAATATTTTAAAATCTAGGGAAGAAGAGAAAAAAATATTATCATGTAGTTCTGTAAAGCCTCATAAATCTGAGCAAGGCTGAAGCTATTAACAAAGGACAAGTGATTGAGGTCTCTCATTACAGCCTTTACATCTCTGCAGTCTTGAATTTTGATGATGTTCCTTCATTGTTCTTTTCCTCCCATTTTCCATTCCTCCTATTTTCCATTCTTCCCATTTTCCACTCCCTGGAAGTGCTTAATATAAAATAAAACAACTTGTTAATGACATCAACTGTTTTACATTAGACTATTCAGATCTATTTTTATGACTACAAAAAGTAGTTTAAAGAGGAGCTTGCTAAAAAAGAAAAATGCTATGAACAAAAAGTGAGAAAATTAGCATGCAGTTTAAATTAGGTTGTAAAAAACCTATATTTTTTCCTTAATGATGTGAACAATTCCAACATATGTAATAGTTTATAATTTGGATCTACTAATGGAGAAGACTCTTTTTCCTGTATTGCTTAGTATGTATGTCCCTAAAGTGATTGCTCACAATGAACATTCACATTTTTAAACTTTATTGGGTTAAGTAATCCTTTAGAATATCAGTTTCATTTTCTCTCTTAGATTATTTAAAATAATTTTTGGTATGCATTATTTGATAATGTATTGGGGTTGGGAAATACATATATTTCTGCATATATTAAGGCACAAGTGTAGTAAACAGTTTAGAAATTGATTTGTAAGGTATTAATTTACCATTACTTAAAAACATGCTACTATAGGCTGGGTGCAGTGGCTCATGCTTGTAATCTCAGCACTTTGGGAGGCCAAGGCAGGTGGATCACCTGAGGTCGGGAGTTCAAGACCAGCTTGACCAACATGGAAGAACCCTGTCTCTACTAAAAATACAAAATTAGCTGAGTGTGGGGGTGCATGCCTGTAATCCCAGGTACTTGGGAGGCTGAGGCAGAAGAATTGCTTGAACCCAGGAAGCAGAGGTTGTGGTGAGCCGAGATAGTGCCATTGCATTCTAGGAGCAAAACTTTGTCTCAAAAATAAATAAATAAATAAATAAACAAACATGCTACTATATATGTATAATTGAATGTTTAGTTTGTTAAAAAAAAAAAAAAAAGTTCCTTTAGGATATCAAGGAGATTCCGAAGCTAAATGATGCAACTCAGTTGGTGTCAACCTCTAATTAACAACATGCTGAAGTATTTACTGTATTTCAATCTTTTTGCTTTCCATTGTTATGTGCTTTCTTATTTAATTATCACAATTCCGTAATAATAACCAATTCAGTAAATTGGGTTTTATTATTCAATAAAGTCGGTATTATTAGAGATTTTAAAGGTTTTAGAAATCTAAATATTAAAGAGGTCCTATGCCTTACCTTGCAATTTTGCCCATGCAAAACAGTGGTGCTAGAATGTCAACTCAAATCTAACTTTAAATCTATTTTGTATGTTTAGTTTCTCTTATTATAAAACTTGTACAACTGAAATGGGAAATCATAATATAAAGCATTAAAAAATTCTGGAAATTGTTGGTAAAATTCCTAACTAAAATTCATTTTGTGCATACTGTGTGTTTAGGTTTTAGTTCATTTAATTCTCACAACAAAGCATGGTGTATATATTACTCACTCAAGTTTGAGATTAAAAAAATGATGATTTGAAGAGGTCAATTTAACTTAGTCTATCATCATAAATCATGGGAAGGAATGGATACACCTGTGAGCTTCTTTAATTTTAACACATATAATCTTTAGTTCAACATATGAAGACATAACGCAGGTTGATGAAACCTTGACTACATAATAGTTTCCAAAATTGCCCAAAATAGTTTTCGCAGAACAAGGATAAGTGTTGGGAAAAAGTGAAATATTATATTTGGAGGTAACTGTTGGTTTCCATTTTTGGATAAAAAGTAGAGAAGAAAAACTGATTAGATATACTATAGTAACATCTATTCAAACAATGTACCTCTTAAATGTATTACAGTAATATAAATACCTGATTTTTAAAAAGAATGACTCCTTTAGAGTTTCAAAATGTCATTCATTGAAGATACATTGAACTATGAGGCACCTAAAAGCATGGATGTGTTCAAAGACTGCTTGAAAAAGAAAATTATTTTGAGAAAATAAATGTTCTTTCATAGAGGCCAATGCAAATAAACTGTCTTTTTTGTCCACAATTTATTTGATTTGTTACCAGGATATAGAGGGTTTTTAAGATTTCCATTAGTATTGTATTAATTTTAATTTATATTATTTAGATATAAATGGAATTAAATTCAAGAGGCTTTACATTTTACTTTCTGGATCCCATTAATTGGAAGACAAACAATCTCTTCATTAAGTTTGCAAAGATACCAAAATCCTCCTAGTTTTACCAAAAGTAAACTTCAGTGATACAAAGTCTTAGCAGCACATTGTAATTTAAAGAAGGATTTATGGCTGCATTCCTTTATATATTATGGAATAAAATGTCCACAAAGGGACATTTTGATATGGATTCATAGTCACTCTTAAGTTCTTGCTGTTGTGGGAATTAAAGAGTTTAAAAAAGTATGCTTTAAAGGAAAAAATGATCGATTTGAAATTGAAATCAAATGCATAACATGAAAGCAAATATTGTGAGCGGCTGTTTTAAAAGCTGTGTTTTTGATTGTCTAGTTCAGTTATTAAGATGAATAAATAAAAGTAGCCTTCTTCATTGAGTAATGCTACATTTTTATCAGATACTAATATTTTTCCTTTAAAAATTCAAACTGAAAAGTCACATTGAACTTGGCACTTTCCCCCATTGGAAGCTGCATTAAAATAATAGTAAATAATTAAATAATGTATAAAATCACAATGAAAATTTGCTGAGGAATTTTTATATATTTCTAGAACATGGTAAGAATATAAACAAATATTCTTAATGAAACATAGCCTAAAAATACAGAGCTTTTCCAGGGCTTTTAATTGTGTTGGAAGCTGAACTGTTCAGGATGACCACAGAGACAGAGTTTTTTAGTATTAGGGGCACAGGTATAGCATCTTGGTTCTTTTTATAGCCATTTAAAATTCTGTATATAAAAAGGAATTAGGCTCTCATTTTTTTCTGTTTCCTCTTCTGTATTTTTATGCTCAGAGACACTAATAAGTTGATATTCAGAGGCATAAAACTGGTGGAATATTCTACAGAAAAGTAGAACAAAAATATTATAAGGAGTAGTACAGCTTATGTGGATTACAGAGCAATTAAATATCCCCAATAATAATGTAAAATTCATTCAATCACCCACTAACATGTAGCTGGTCAGTTAACATTCTGTGTCCGTGCAAGCAGGGCTCTCAATCTTGGTATTATGAATATGACTAAATACCAAAAATTGCAATGTGTTGACAAAAACCTGAAAATCATTAAAGAAGAGGACAAAAATATCTTACCCTGGAAGAAAGTGAGATAATTAAGGCTAATGAAGGTAACATACAAATAAAATAAATTCATAGGGAGATACCATCTCTACAAACATTTTTAAAATTTGCCAGGTGTGATGGTGAACATGTGTAGTCCCAGCTGCTCAGGAAAGTGAAGTATGGAGACAGGTTGAGCCCTGGAAGTTGAAGTTGCAGTGAGCTATGATCATGCTACTGTATTCCAGTCTGGGTGACAGTGAGACTCTGTTTATAAATAAATAGGACTCTCACAAATACCTTCCAAAATATTTTAAAAGATTTTGTAGGCAAAAAAAAAAAAACAAAAAACAAAAAACCCCAAGAACTAATGGCCACATAAAATAAGACTGCAAATTAAAATTAATTTTCAAAATTAATTTAAGGTTTCGAGTTAAAATTAATCTTCCTAAACATACAACAAATATTAAAGTGAGACAGTTAAGAGGTAAAAAAGTAGGCATATAGCATGAATATCTAACATAGTGCACCCTTAAATGGGAAAGAGAGCAAAGGAAAGAAAAAAGTAACAAGTGTAATGAAAGAAAATGGGTCAGAGCCAATGAGAGCTTGAGTCTTTAAGGTGCTTAGCATGATTCTTTTACATAAGAATAAAAAAGCCTCAAGGAATGGTGAGTATAAATAAAAATAACCGTAACTAGATATATGACTAAAAATAAAAATTTAGAATGCCATGAAAAATAAGATGTTATTAAAGGGAAAAAATAAAAGTGTAACTATAAAGAAATAGAAATCATATAATATTTCATAACTTGTATGCATAATATTTTCAGAGTTATGAAAAATAATTGTACTAAGCCAGACTTCTACATGCAGCCAACCTATGTTTAACATATATTGTCAATGCTACACCAATAACCCCAGTACCTTTAGTGACATGCACTCTCTATATACTTACAGTTGTCAGTATCTGCATACAAACTTTACTGAGTGCTCTCACTCCTGTAACAAGCTGCCTGCACATGACAGGCCATACAGGCTAAGGAAGTAAAATCCTCCACAACCAATGACTCTTGAGGGCTGGAATACAAATACCTCTTTATCTCAGCTCTCTTTAGGGATAATTCTGAGGCATATATTTTACACTATTCCCCAGAGATTCTAGAGGGATTGAGCTCCAGCTGCTCACTGAATAGCTGGGTTAGTAGCACACTTCCATTTACTACTTCTCTTCCCTCTAACATATCCCAAATTCTTTATAGCTGTCCCCTGCACGTCCCTCACAGAATTACTTGCACTCAAATTCTTTTCTTTGGATATGCTTCTAAGAGAACCCAAATAAACTTATGCATCAAATTAAAGGTAGAATGCAGACATATCAGTCAGAGGCACATAGAAAGGTTAAGTCCCAAAGACCCTTTCTTTGGTATGTATCTACTTACTTGACTTTTTTTTCTAAGAATTTCACTTTCAATAACATTTTGTTCATCAGAGATGCATTTTTTTGTTTCCAGTACTTTGTCAACAAACATGAATTTGTACATATTTTGTGCTACGCATTTAGCTATGTGAGAAAAAGGACAGGAAAGTTACTTGTTCTAATGAAGCTAACTTCCTAGTGGGAAAAACAATTGCTGTATGAACAAGCGAATAAGCAATATAACATAATTATAATCTGAAAAGACCATAAAATAAAGCCGGATGCTGAAAAAAAAATTCTAGGAGCAAATAAAGTTGAACAAGTGAAGTCATATAGGGAAATCTATGGTCATGAAATTTGTAGCCAGTCTACAGAATAGTAAGTCCAGATTGACACCAATATGTAGAACTAATCAGTAAATGTGACTATGGCAAACAAAAGGATTCAGAAGACTAGGGTGCATGAGAGAAATCTTAGGCAAATTGGAGAATAATCAAAGAAGGTGGCACAGAAAACAAAGAAAGAAATTAAAAATACAAGGGGAAAGAAGACAAAAAAGTTCGAGAGTAGTAAAATCCTAATATAAGGGTAACTAAGAACATGACACATTCCTGAGAAAATATAGTTTAGAGCTCAATGAACTTTCATACTAAGAATACTAGCCTTTGATTTGTATAGGGTCATGAACGTGGGAGTTCTTTAAAGGAGATTATTTCATAATGAGATGCATGACCCTGCTTTCATTACTATTTATATAGCATAATCATGTTGATTTCACATTTCAGAATGAACCTATAGACAAAACATTATCAATATTACCGTTACTTATAAAACAGAATATACACAATAACATGGATAATATAAAAGTGAAATTTGACAGAGGCAAAATGAGGGTTGGGTAGAAGAATTGGTAAAAGTACTGAGACCTCATGTTTGCTTAATAGGTGATTAGAGGGACACTCTGTATTAGGAGGAGCAAGAAATTACAGAAGTGTCCAGTGGGGAATATAAAGACATTGCTATAACCTTATTAGGAAAAGAAAAGGAGGGAAATTATTGTCATTTTTAAATGAGGCAAGCAATCCTTATCAAAATAATTTCATAAAGACATAATTATTTTGTCATGTAATATTAAAAAATAGAAGTCATTACCAGAAAACTAGAATTACAAAAAGCTAAGGAAGTAATCTTTGTATATTGACCTGAAGAATAAAGGTCAAATAATTCTTAGTTTTTATTTTCAAGGCCTTTTCTATTTTATTTCCTGTGCATCAATATCTTGCCTTAGAACGACAAAAGTCATATGAACAAAGTTAGGGTTAACATAACTGATTTTTGTTTTTAAAATACAATGAGTGAGAGAATTTAATCATCATTACTGTCCCTAAAATATTGTACTAGTTTTCTATATTTCCTTAAGAGAGAGAGTGCAGGAGGCCAGTAGGTTGACCTTTGGTGCTGCACCTGAGTCAGCTTCAAGTAAGCCAATATAATGTTAAGACATTCAGTAATTTAAAAAATAGCCCTTTTTGTTTGTAATAATTTTAGATATAGTGAACAGTTGTACACATACTACAGCAAGTTCTCATACACATTCCCCTAGTATTCCCTAGCATTAACATCTTATATAATGAAGACACATTTGTTAATATTAAGCAATTAACATAACTATAATAGTATTAACATTAAGCTTTTATATTATTTCATAAACCTTTTACTAACGTCTGTTTTATGTCTCAAGAAACAAATCAGGATACTACAATACATTTAATTACCTTTTGGAGAAGAAGAAGTTAAAATCAGGTAAGCTTCTTATCAAAAGGGGCTGGAGTGTCAGGAGTGTTATAAGAAAATTGAGCTCCAATAAGAGAGTAAAGTTACTGAGGTGAATGTTTTGTTTGCCTATAGGTGATAATCATAGACTCAATCGAAATCTTTAGGACTTTCTTCTAATAATATATTGAGCAACTAAAAATGTGAGACAGTACAACCAGTCTGTGCTCAAAGTGGATTCATTAATAAAACCTCTATAGATAACCAGTCACATTCTTCCTCAGAAAGAATGACCAGATCTTGAGCCTCTCCTACCTTGGTTACTCTAAGATAGCTTAGAGGGATGAACCACTGTTGCCATTTCTGTTATTCTCATACTCAGCCAAATAACCCAAATTTTTAAAAATGCTTTTAAGTTTCTAGTACACCAAATGCTCATTTCCAATGAAACTTAAGGCTGGGTTGGTACGAATGAAAATAGTCTCTTGTTACTTATTAAATGAGCCTTAAAGTCATTCTGTAATACATGCCATAATAGTGTTCACTTAGTTCACATTTTAGTTAAAATCAATTAGAAGCCCTTATACGTTATGTCCATTTAAAAAAATTCATAAACTGTATTAGAGAAGTTTTTGGCTTACAGCAAAATTGAGCAGAAAGCTCTGATTTCCCCACCACACACACACAACTTCCCTCACTATCAACTTCTCCCATCAGAGTGGCACCTTTGCTATAATTGTTTAACCTACATAACCTGCATAATCTACCACTCAAAGTCCATAATTCACATTAGGATTCACTCTTGGTGTTGTGCATTCTATGAGTTTTAACAAAGGTATAGTAATTTGTATTTGTCATTGGTAGTATTGCATTAAATAGTTTCACTGATATAAAAACCTTCTTTGCTCTGTTAATCCCATTTACTTCCCTAATCCCTGGAAACCACTGATCTTTTCGCAGACAACATACCTTTACCTTTTCCAGGATGTTATAAAGTTGGAACCATACAGTATGTAGCCTTTTCAGATTGGCTTCTTTTACTTAGTAATATACATTTAAGTTTTCTTCGTGTCATTTCATAGCTCGATATCATAATTCATTTCTTTTTAGCACTGAATATTTCATTGGATATAGCACAGTTTATTTGTTGATTCACCTTCTGAAGAATATGTTGTTTGATTCCAGGTCTTGGAAATCATAAGTGAAAATGCTATAAATATTCACCTGCAAGTCTTGGTGTGAACATACGTTTTGAACTCATTTGGGTAAATGACAAAGAGTGCAATAGCTGAATTGCATGGTAAGACTGTGTTTAGTTTTCTAAGAAACTGCCACATTGTCTTCCAAAGTGAAAATATACTGTTTTGCATTCCCATCAGCAGTGAATGAGAATTTCTGTTGCTCTACATCTTTGCCAGCGTTTGGTGCTTTCTGTGTTTTGAATTTTGATTATTCTAATGGATGTGTTTTGGTATCTCATTGTTGTTTAAATATGCATTTCCTTGATGGCATATGATAAGCGTCTTTCCATATGCTTACATGCAATTTGCATTGTTTTCAGTAAGATGTCACTTCAGGATTTTGCGCCCCCCACCCCCCATACATAATTAGGTTTTTCATTTTCTTATTTTTGAGTTTTACAAATTATGTGTACATTTTGTAAAATAGCCTTTATTATATTTATTAAACAATAGTCCTTAACATTAGAAAATAATCTGCAAATTTTTTCTACCAGTTTGTGACATCTCCTCATTCTTTTGGCATTGTTTTTCACAGAACAAGAATTTTTCATTATAATCAAGCCTCATTAGTCAATTGTTTCTTTCATGTATCATAACTTTGGTTTTTCATCTGAAAAGTGATATCCATACTCATTTATCTAGGTTTTCTTATGTTATATATTAGGAGTTTTATAGTTTCACGTTCTACATTTACTCCTATAATTCATTTTAATTTACCTTTTGTAAAAGATAGAAGGTCTGTGTCTTTTATTTATTTATTACTTTTTGCACGTGGATGTCCAGGTTTTTAAATCATTATTGGTTAATATGACTATTTTTTTTCATTTATTACATTTCCTTTTTTGTCAGTGATTAGTTGACTATATTTATGTGGGTTTAGTTCTAGATCCTCTATTCTTTTTAATCAATCTGTCCATTATTTTGCTACCACACTGTCTTGATAATTGCAAACTTGTAGTAAGTCTTGAAGTTTGTTGGTGTCAGTCCTCTCACTATCTTGTTCTGCTTCAATATTGAGTTAATTATTTGAGTATTTTGCATCTCCATGACAACATTAGAGTAAG
The DNA here is from genome assembly GCF_000001405.40 of Homo sapiens. Classification (NCBI taxonomy): domain Eukaryota; kingdom Metazoa; phylum Chordata; class Mammalia; order Primates; family Hominidae; genus Homo; species Homo sapiens. The sequence continues at coordinate 67,403,610 of NC_000006.12, forward strand.
TTTGTTGACACAGGTATCCACAAAATAACCTTATTGAGGTTTTTAAAGGGATTGCATTCAGTCTATAGATTAATTTGGGAAGACCTTAAAATCTTAAGAATATTGAGCCTTTCTGTCAATGGACATGAAATTCCTCTTCATTAATTTAATTATTTATCAGAGTTTTGTAATTTTCCTTATATAAAGTTGCGTGTATTTTGTTATATTTCTACCTAAGTGTTAAATTTTGGGGTGGTACAAAAGTAAATGGTATTTCATTTTTAACCTCAAATTCCACATGATTATTGCTAGTATATAGAAAATTGATTGCCTATGGTACATTAACATTGTATCCTGTATCCTTGTTATAATTGCTGTTAGTTCCAGGAGTCTATTTGTCAAATATTTTTAATTTTCTACGTAGACAACTATGCCATCTGTAAACAAAGACAGTTTTATTTATTCATTCCCAATATGAATATGTTTTTCTCTTAAAAATGCATTGTTTTAAATTTCTTTTAAAATGTAAAATTTCAGGAGGTACCCTTGCAGGTTTGTTACATGAATATATTGCATAAGGGTGAAGTTTCGGCTTCTAGTGTATACAGCACAAATAATTAACATTGTCCTTCATACGTAATTTTTCAACCTTCCTTCTATTCTCTCCTTTCCTGATTTTGGAGTTTCCAGTGTTTATTATTTTTATATGCATGCCCATGTGTACCTTTGTTTAGTTTACTGATAAGTGAGAATGTTTGGTATTTAATTATCTGTTTCTGAGTTATTTCACTTAGCATAATGGCCTCCAGCCCATCCATGTTGCTGCAAAGACATGATTTCATTCTCTTTTATGGCTGCACAGTATTTCATGGTATATATGTTTTATTTTTCCAAACATCTGTAGATGGACAAAGGCTGATTCCATCACTTTGCTATTGTGAATAGTACTGTGATAAACACATAAATGCATATGTCTTTTTGATGTTAACATTTACTTTTCCCAGTAATGGGATTATTATGTTGAATGTAAGTTCTATTTTTTGTTCTTTAAGCAATCTCCATAATGTTTTTGATAGAGCTTGTACTAATTTTCATTCCCACCAACAATGCACAAGCATTCCCTTTTCCCCAAGCTTCCCCAACATCTATTGTTTATTTGCTTTTTAATAATAGCCACTCTGACTGGTGTGAGATGTTGTCTCATTGTGGTTTTAATTCACTTTTCTTGGGTGATTAGAGATGTTGAGAACTTTTTCATAGGTTAGTTGGCCGCTTGCATGTCTTTTTTAGATACATGTCTGTTCATGTCATTTGCCCATTTTTAAATAGGGTTATTTAGTTTTTCTTGTTGACTTTGAGTTTCTTGTAAATTCTATATATTACTACTGTGTCAGAGGCATAGTTTACAAAATTTTCTTCTATTCTTTAGGTTGCTTGTTTATTGATTATTCTTTTGCTGTGCAGAGATTCTTAGTTTAATTAAGATCCATTTGTATATTTTTTTGTTGCATTTGCTTTTTAGGTCTTACTTATAAATTATTTGCATAGAAGAGTTTTGCCTATGCTTTCTTCTAGGACTTTCATAGTTTCTTTGATCTCCAGATTTTCAGGGGGACTAATTTAAGTAATACTAAAACTCTGGTGTCCTCCACAGCTGGTTCTGCAGGAATTACTCTTTCTCTATTGCAATTCCCCTGACTTGACAAATTGGCTCTGTCTAGGCAGTGGCCAAGGTGAACCCACTGGGTGACTGAAAATTTGGTGGTTCATCTGGGATTGCCCTTGTGGCTACCTGCCCGAAGTTTGGTAGTCCCCCTCTGGCAATGGATCCAGAGGCCAGCACAAGTGGCTGCCTCATTCTCTTGGACTAGGGGCTGACTCTGGCACTATCTCTACTGGTGGGGTGCTGCTGACCCATGATGTATTGATTTAATTCCAATAGAGAAATAGTTACTGAAAAGACATCTTTAAACTGGTCTAGTGTGTATTCTAGACACTGCCAACATCTGCTTCCTTCTCCCAGTTGGTTTGGCTCCTTAAAGGATCATTATTTGGCTCCTTTGGGGGTCTTGGTTTGGCTCCTTGGGGATCTCGATTCGGCTCATTTGAGGTCTTTGTTCAGCTCTTTTAGTGTGGTCTCAGTTTGCCCTAATTAGTAGGAAGAGTCTTGGTTTTGGAGACTTCACTTCAACTGGGAAGATTCTTAAGGAGATTTCTCGGACAGAATAGGAGGTTAGTTTGGAATGAGTACTCTTGAAATTTTTGGCTAGGTATCTTGGTTTGGAAGGTCTTCTGTCCATCTTGTCTTCGTTGTATGTGTTTGTATGTGTGGAGGGGATCTGAAGGAATTGCTGATGGAGATCCAGCAGGCCTAACTCCTAGAACCCTGTATAAGTGTGTTCACATTCAATGAGTCCTGAAAAAAGCTCAACAGCCTGACTAGAGTGTTTGCTCTTCATCTTGCCCAGAGACAACCTATTGAATTCCCATTTGGAAGTCATCCTTCCCCACCTTGAGTGGATTAAAGATGGCAGGGACGAACAGGAGAAAGTTTGAGCCTTGCCTGGTTGATACTGGGTGTTGAATAAAGTGAGTAGCATCTGTCTGGTTATGTGTATTTTACTGAGCTGGGATGAAAAATGTTAATTCGGTGCGCCATGCAGCCAGCTGAGCAGCATCTTGCAAAATTGATAAGCTTTTGCCTATGGTTCCATAATACAGAAAATCATTATTTTCTTTTATCGTATGGCTTGACCCCCACAGCTATGGCATAGTGAGTGGGGTCATGAAAAGCCACTCTATCCTTCTGGAAGCTGCAGAACAAGGGAATTCAGAAACCTTGTGTGCCGGCAAAATGAGTAATAATTTTTTACCAGTCAGGTTTCTGGCCTCTCTCCCACTTTGTGTAAATCATAAACATCACTGTTTGTCTCCTCTGCAAGGGTTTGATCAATTGAAAAAAGGATTTGTGAGACTAGTCTTGAGCTGTAGATAATCTGGTGTACTTTGTGGTATAAATTTGTCTTTCTGTGTCTTTTTGTAATGGAAAGTGGTACAACAGGATAAAATGTGGGCTTAGGACCCCTATAAGCCTGTTGTTCAAGCTAGTTCGGCAGATTTGTCAGTTACAAACTTTGCTGTGGGTCCCTGAAATTAATACTAGATGAGGTTTCCCTTTCATCTTGTTTAATGCTCTTGTGAGTTTGACCTTGCAACAGTCTGGTGGTACTTTCTCTTGGTCCCTGCCATCCAGAGGACAGAAATGTTGTGGTTCATATCATAGTTAGCTCTAAAAAATATCTTGAGCAGATAAAAACTGTTGCAAGCTCGAAACTGGCTGTTCTAGGTTCATTCTGGGAATCATAATGAAACCTGACCAATGCTGTAGCTCAAAAGCTAAGGCTTTGTCTTTTCACAATGGTGGCTCAGGTTCAATTTTCCACCTAGGGAATGAATACTTTCTGTGTATTCAACCTTTGCCATTTGTTGATTCTCTTCCCCTCCATAAACAACTTATGACTTCCCTTCTTAAATTTTCCTTTCTCTGAGCTACCACGGTAGACTTTAAATCTTGTAAAAACTGCTTACCACTTCTTTGAAAACACTTTGTGTACTGTGGTTAAGTCATAACTTTTGTTAAGGCTTATGGGTTTCACCTGGCAGATTACTTCTGGTAAAGTTCAAAGGCCAAAACTACTGGTTGTTTGGCCTGGCTACAGTCAGGTAATAAGAGACTTAAAAAAAAAAAAAAAAAAAAAAAAAAAAAAATATATATATATATATATATATATATATATATATATATATATATAAATATATATATATATAAATATATATAAATATAAATATATATATGTAAAATATATATAAATATATATATAATATATATATAATATATATATAAAATATATATATAATATATATATAAATATATATATTATATATAAATATATATATAAATATATATATATATATCTAAATATATATATAAAATATATATAAATATATATATAAAATATATATCTAAATATATATATAAAATATATATATAAATAAAATATATATATAAAATATATATAAATATATATAATGTATATATATAAAATATATATATAATGTGTATATATAATATATATAATGTGTATATATAATATATAAAATATATATATAAATTTGTATATATATAAAATACATACATAAAATATATATATAAAATATATATATATTTTACAGAGCCCTATTGTTAAAAGTCAGCTTAATTAAAAAATAGACATCCAAGCTACACACACAGACACACACACACACACCCACGCGCACACACACACACACACGACATTTGTGCTTTTTCTCTTGTTTAATCTTGTTTTATTGAGAAAAGATTTTTGTTTGTTTTCTCCATCAGTTGTTTTCTCAGTTTATCTTCTTGCAACTCTCAATGCCCACATGAAAGGACCTGAGATAATTTCTAACAGCCTGGAACTCCTTGGGAAAAACAGGAGGCATCACAGACCTCATTTTAGGAAAAACCTCTTTTCCTCATGAAACCCCAGGAATTGAAGGAGGACATACTCCTTTCAAAATCTAAGGCTCTGTTCTGTTTTACATTATGTTACCTGACATTTTTTACTTTTGGGGCTATCAGAGAATACTTTGCATTGTGAAAGAGCTTTTAGCCTTAATGTGTAATAACTAGGTAGGAAATATATTTTAAGGTATGGCTAATTGCAGTTATGTAGGGATACTTGGCGCTTTGCATGCTTGCATGCTTTTGGGCCACCTGAGAGGTATGGAAACATCCTCAACCCCAAGTGAGAGATCAGATTCCCATGGTGAATGGGCTGATTACAAAATGGGCTGACTGGCTTTGGATTGCCTTGCAATGAAATGGGCAGTAAAAGCATCGTGCTGTACCATTTCTTTCTTTTGGGAGATCTAGGATGTAATATAATAATGGAACCTCTAATTTTGAGGATCTGTTTTTGCCTTCCGGATGTGCCTGCTTATTACACCCTAGAAACTGCATACTCTCCTGGCCCTGTTCCTCCAAAGTCTCCACCCTGAAGCCAGTAATCCAATTAAGAATCTGGTAAGTAAAAAAATCTTACAACTACTGGATCTTCTGTCTCTCTGTATTTATATATGTGTGTGTGTGTGTGTGTGTGTGTGTGTGTGTGTGTGTGTGTGATGTTTATATTAAAGAGTTCTAATTCACTGGTTTAAAGAAAAATAAGTGTTTAACTCAAATATTTTTTTCAGAAAAATAGGACCTTTAATGACTTTTAGTTCATGTGACTTTAGTAATCTCTTGGAAATCAAGACAATTTTAAAGATTATTGGTAAAATTATGATGTCTTCAAAATTTAGACAGCTGGCCTAAATTAGGCAGGTCAGATATTAGGTTTGCTAAATGCTTTAAGGTCATCAACTGCTTCTTTGACAATTTTGTTCGAATTACCTACTTTAAAGCCATTAGATTCTAGATAAGGCCTGGGGACATACGGAGTTAGCTGTGTCCCCTAATTATGCTGGAAACAGTCAGACCTTATTTGGACTTCTGCCTAATGTCCTAGGCTTCACACCTAGTACATAATTAAAATATCTTTCAATATTGGGTTTTCACCAAAAATGAAAGTTGCTGAAATGTAACAGTGTAATATGTACTTGAAACTACTGGAAAAACAGTTTTACATGCAAGGTTGCAAGGTCTAGAAGGAAAGTAGAATGCGGTTTTGGTAGGGGATTATAAGAAGGCATGGAAATATGGTTTTTGTTCAACAGAATGTAATTTTGTCTTGTTCAGAGGGTTTTAAAGATTGTCTTAACTAAAAGAGTAATGGACAATGCTAAAAGATTAAGATAGTTGAACAGGTTCGTGAAGGATTCATCTTGTGAGGAAAGTGATGTGGGTATGAGCAATTTAGCTAAGATGTGAAGGGAATTATTTAGATTTTTTCCATAGGTTGAACATCAAACAAAAGCACACTGATGCAGGGCCAAAATCTCGGCCCATGGGTCCAAATAATGGGGTTTTCTTAAAAAATTGATCTGCTGTTTAACAGAAGATTGCAAAGGGTCCTAAAAGTTTATGAAAATCTTACATTATGGTCAAACTAATTAAAACGGAATGAATTTACAAAGGTTAATTAAAAACTAGCCTTAGCATTAAAGATGCACTAACACAAATATTAAATTTGATTTTCTTTTTTGAAAAACACTTTTATGTTATTTTGATAAACAATAAAAGGTTTTCATTTGCCTTTTGAGTAAACTACAAAAAACAAGGAGGGAAAGAGAAGAGACAGATTCAACTGGCCTCATGCTGCCTTCCCTGGGTCTTGTTATTTGGAAAGCTAAATCTCCTATCACAGTAAAGGTTTTTTCCTTTTTAAAATTTTTGAGTTATCATTTTGGCTGAATGAATGACCTATGGTAACCTGAGATTCTATTTTGTGATATATAGTATTATTTATTTATTTATTTATTTATTTATTTATTTATTTATTTATTTTGAGATGGAGTCTCGCTCTGTCACCAGGCTGAGTGCAGTGGCGCGATCTCGGCTCACTGCAACCTCTGTCTCCCAGGTTCAAGTGATTCTCCTGCCTCAGCCTCCCAAGTAGCTGGGATTACAGGCACATGCCACCATGCCCTGCAAATTTTTATATTTTTAGTAGAGACGGGGTTTCGCCACGTTGGCCAGGATGGTCTCGATCTCTTGACCTCGTGATCCACCCTCTTCTGCCTCCCGAAGTGCTGGGATTACAGGCGTGAGCCACTGCGCCCTGTAAATGTCTAGTATTTTAAACCTTTCATATTTGACAAACCTTTTAAGATCAAATTCTAAGTTAAGTTTTAAAAAAATTAGGTCTCCTAAAGTCCAAAAAAGACACACATTTAGCTTATTTGACATATTAAAATCATGCAGAAAACAGTGTCAAATATAAAATTGTGTTTAACTTTCTTTGGGTTATATTGATATAAATATGTTATTAGTTTGTGTTACAAGATTTTACAAGGTTCCTATAAATTCTGATATGTCGCAGTATAGCCTATCAGTAATAATTATAATTGTTATGGTAAATTGTTATGTGTCACAGAGATGATCATATTTCCTTGTTGTTTTGCATCTTCAACTATGACTGTCCTGAGATTTTGTCATCCACAGACAATTGTTATCTTGTTTTCATTCTTTTCAAAAGGCAGTTTATAATCAGCAATAGGACTCTGATGGGTCCTATTGAATTCAGGCCTCATAACTTTAGACACTCTGTGATTGAAATATAGGAAAGAAACAAACTTCTAGGACTCTCACAGAGAGTTGATTTGTTAAAGATTGCTAATCCTTTTGTTTTACAGAGTCAAAGAAACATTTCTTTTAAACTATTTACAACTCTTAGCAAGTGAGTAAAGTATACTCCTGGGAGCAAAATTTGGAGCATATTGCTTTCTCTCCACCTGATTTCTCTAGAATTTAGAAAGTATTATGAGTATTGTCAAGTTATGTCAGTATAGTAATTTGCATAAAAGCAATAAGAGTCTGTTTTCTTTCATAAAAGGACACGATCAGAGAAACTGGTTATTTTATGAAGGCTGTGACTGGAATGGCATGCTTTCTTTAAGGAATCAGTGTTGACTTACTGAGTCAATAAAAGCTCCTCAGGAAGCTGGGCTTATACCTTGTCTACACATTTCCTGTACATGGTTCCTGACCTGTGGTAAGTTAAGAATGTCACTTTCTGACAGGCCCAGGAACCCCTGGGACCTAGAAAGGAGGAAAATTTTCTTGGCACCAAGAGAGGACAAAAATTCATCAAACTCATACATGTATTTGCAGGCATAGGTAAGTCCATGGCTGGGCTTTAAGTCTTTAAAAAGTAAATCTGAGATTTTTTTATAGAACAAAGTTTCAGCAATGCTATTTTTTTAAGCTCCTATATGGCAAATAATTATTCCTACTGCATTTTATGCAAAAAAAAATCAGGCCTATTATAATAAGAATAAAACTTGTTTTGCAAGTAAACTTAACCTACTATGATTTATCGTTAATAAAATGGGGATGGAAGAGAGAAAAAAATATGTTTTTTTAAAACACTGCAGTACACCTGTTGTTCTTGAGGAGAGTTTTTCAGCAATTTGGACAAAATCTTAAATTCATTGTGGCGACAAGTCCCCAAACTAATGCTTTTTTTTTTTTAAACTGGGAATTTCACTTTTTATCCTATTTATTTATTTTATCCTATTGTTTATCCTATGCTATCCATTTTTTATCCTATTTATTTATTTTATCCTATTGTATCCATTATTTACCTTATAATATGCCATCTATTTAAATGCTGCACCTAAGCTATAGATGAGAATACTAACACCTTTGTTATGAAAGCCTTGGAACCCCAGTCTGGCCTGCTTGAATATGTTCAGACAGCTCAGACAGCTGCAAAGTGATTCTACTCCTCTCACCTTGGGGTCAACATCTACCCCATTACCACTCCGTCAGCAGGAAGGTGTTAGATCTGTTGTCAACCTTTTTCTATCTTTATTAGCCCACACCTTAAGATTAAAATGTTATAAAATGCAAAGGAAGGAATTAAAACCACCTTTGCAAACATTATAACTAAAGTAATTATGACAGTGAAAGAGATCAGACCTAGCCGATTCCATTTTGCTTCTAACCTTTAAGCTTTCCTTGTTCATTCCTAGGTGTTCCTTTTGGAGGAACATAGTTTATGGTGTCACTTTGAAGCAAAGACAATAATACCTGTTTCCCAAAACACACCCCCTTCTTGCCTGGGGACCAGTTTGCCGTTGTAGGACTAACAAATTAGCTCCAAGACTTTAAATTACAATTTAGGGGCCATGCAGCCTCTGACTGCAAGAGTCTGAAACTCTCCAAAATGAGCATGGAAAAACATCATCATTGTAAAACCTAAAATCAGTGCTTGAGATATTTAGCAAACCTTGTGTTCCAATGTACCACCTGACACCACCCAGACCAGTAATGTGGCACAATCAGTTCCATGATTCCAGTCAGGAACAGAAGACAGCAAGAAAAACTCACTTGGACCCCTGTGATTTCATCTCCAACCCAACCAATCAGCACTCCCCACTTCCCGAGCACCTGCCTGCAAAATTATCCTTAAAAACTCTGATCCCTGAATTCTCAGGGAGAGTAATTTGAGCTATAATAAAACTCTGCTCTCCTACACAGCTGTCTCTGAGTAAATTTCTCTTTCTCTATTGCAATTTCCTTTCCTTTTAAATAGGCTCTTTCTAGGCTGTGGGCAAGGTGAACCCATTGGGTGATTACAGAATTCCACATGGGCTCAAGCAATACTTCTGCAAAATTTCCAGGCAGTTCCTTGTGTTAGCCTGGAGTCTTGTGAGTATTGAGGGCACCTCTATAACTAGAATTATAAATTTTCATAATAGAAATGTGAAACTGTGGGCGTCTCACTCCGTTCTTTTATCAGGAAGCTTCTCCCAGTGCCACATCAGTCCCAGTTCAGCAGGCTACCGAACTTCACTTTCTTTGCTTTCCATAAATCTTGTTGATTCTCTAATAAATTCCAGTGTGCTCTCTTACATGATCTATTTGAAGTGTAACTATTTACTTGCTATTTTGATTCCTCTCCAAGAAAGCAGCACTCACTAGCTGCTAGCCAGCCATCTGAAACCAGAAGCATTTTGTATTTTAATGTCTTATTATGTATTTTTTAGTATAATGTTGAAAAACAGTAGTGAGGGGAGCATACTTGCCATGTTCCTGATATTAGTAGGTAAGTTTAGAATTTTTAACCAATAATATTTTTATCTGGCATTGTTTTGTAGTTATTCTTTATCAGGTTGATGAAGTTACTCTCTATTACTTGTTTTCTAAAATATTTTTATAATGAACTAGTGTTGGATTTTGTCAAATGCATTTAGTTGATCTGTTGATAGGATGATATTTTTTCTTATTTAGCCTGTTGATATAACAAATTGCATGAATTGATATTCAAGTGTTGAAACAGCTTTGCATAAGTTGGATAAATCTCACTTCATGTGGTATATAATTTTTTATACATTGTTAGATTCAATTCGCTAATATTTCCCTGAGGATTTTTACCTCTATGTTTTAAAAATATTGTTTTGTAGTTTTGTTTTCTTGTCATCTTTTTTCTGATTTTTGTATTTGTGTAATATGGACCTCATAGAATAAGTTAAGAGGTATTTTGTCTTCTCTGTTTTCTGGGAGAGATTGTGGAGAATTGGCATAATTTATTATTTAATATTTTGGTGAAATTTAATAGTGAACACATGTAAGTCTTGTATTTTCTGTTCTGAAAGGTTACTAATTATAAATTCAAATTTTTTAATATATATGGGCCTATTGAGATTATCTATTTCTTCTCGCGTGAGTTTTAAAATATGATATCTTTCTATGACTTGGTCTATTTCATCTAAGTTATCAAACTTGTGGGCATAGTGTTCACAGCATTTATTTTTAATGTGTCTGTGATCTTTAATGATACTCCCTCTTCCACTTCCAATATTAGTAATTTGTGTTCTGTCTCTTTTGTCTTGTTCTGGCAAGAGGCTTATTGATTTTATTTATGTTTTCAAGGAACTAGCTTTTAGTTACTTTGATTTTCTCAATTGATTTGTTTAAAACTTCATTGACTTCTGCTCTTATTTTTATTATTTTTGTCTGCTTAGTTTGGATTTAACTTTCTTTTCATGTTTGCTAAGGTAGGAACCTAGATTATTGCTTTTGAAGCTTTCTTCTTTCCTAATGCATACATTCAGTGCCATAATTTGCCTTAAACACTGCTTTCACTGTATCCCTCAGATTTTCATAAGTTGTGGTTTTCTTTATAATATTTTAAAATTTATTTTGAGGTTTTTTGGACTCATATTACTTAGAAGTATGTTTTTAAATCTCCAAGTATTTGGGTACTTTTTAAGCTGTGTTTTTGTTTAATTCCATCATACTCTGAAAGCAGACATTGTATGATTTCTAATCTTTCAAATTGTTCAGGTGTGTTTATGGCTTGGAATATGATGTATCTTGGTGAATGTTCCACATAAGCTTCAGAAGTATGTGTTCTGTAGTTGGATGAAGTGTTGGATAGATATCAGTTATCTCCATTTGGTGACGTTGAGGCAAACAATGTGCCTACTAATTTTCTGCTTGCTGGATTTGTTCATTTCTGATAGAGAGATGTTACAGTTTCCAATTGTAATGATGGATTGTTTTATTTCTTCTAATGATTATATTAGTTTTTAATCTCACATATTCTAATGGTTTGTTGGTGATTGTGTACACATTAAAGATAGTCATGTATTCTTGAAGAATTTATATTTTTGTCATAATGTAATGTCTCACTGTATTACTGATAACTTTTGTTACTCTGGTCTGCTTTATCTAAATGTATAATAGAAAATTATAAAATGCTATAAATATTAAACTTTGTTTTTAAATGGTGCATATAGAACCCTGATTTTTAAGTTATCAACCATATTTGTTTGTTTTCTGTTTGTTGTCCTTGTTCTTTGTCTTGTTTCTGCTTTGTCTTACCCACTTTTTTGTCTTGTGGTTTTTAATTGAGCATTTTATATGATTTTTTTCTTTCTTTGAATATCAATTACACTTCTCATTACTTCCTTTAATTTTTGCCCTAAAATTTTTAATATAGATTCACAAGTAATCCAAATCTACTTCAAAAAATACTATACAAATCCATAGGCAGCGTAAGTACCTTAAAACAAATATTCCCAATTGTTTCCACTTATCATTCATATAGTTGTTATCATTTATTTTACTTATAAATAAGAATATATAAGTAGTGGATGTATTTGTATATTTATAGACAGATAGATATGAATATATTTGTAAGCATGTGTAATTGAAAATATTATTGCTCTTATTATTTTAACAAACATTAGATTAGTTGAGAATAAGAAAAATAAATGTATTTTCTTTTTGATTACTTATAACTGATGATCTTTTTTGAATATACATTTATGTATCTGATCAACACCTTTTTTTCCCTAAAAAAGTTTTTTTTTTTTTTTTTAACATTTCTTGCAAGATAGGTCTTTTGGCAAAAAATGTCCTCAATTATTCTCTATTCTAACTTGCTGTTCTCTTTTCTAAGTGAAGGATAATTTTGCAGGGTGTGGAATTCTAAGTTGACATTTTTGTTCTTTCAAAACTTCAAATATTTTACTTTTCTCTCTTCTTGATGGTATGATTTCTGATAAATTAGAAACAATTTTTATCCTTGCTCCTCTATATTTAGTGACCCCTCTTCTACTCAGCCTTTTTTTTAATTATACTTTAAGTTTTAGGGTACATGTGCACAACGTGCAGGTTTGTTACATATGTATACATGTGCCATGCTGGTGCACTGCATCCCTTAACTCGTCATTTAACATTAGGTATATCTCCTAATGCTATCCCTGCCCCCTCCCCCACCCCACAACAGGCCCCAGTGTGTGATGTCCCCCTTCCTGTGTCCATGTGTTCTCATTGTTCAGTTCCCACCTATGAGTGAGAACATGTGGTGTTTGGTTTTTTGTCCTTGCGATAGTTTGCTGACAATGATGGTTTCCAGCTTCATCCATGTCCCTACAAAGGACATGAACTCATCCTTTTTTATGGCTGCATAGTATTCCATGGTGTATATGTGCCACATTTTCTTAATCCAGTCTATCATTGTTGGACATTTGGGTTGGTTCCAAGTCTTTGCTATTGTGAATAGTGCCACAATAAACATACATGTGCATGTGTCTTTATAGCAGCATGATTTATAGTCCTTTGGGTATATACCCAGTAATGGGATGGCTGGGTCAAATGGTATTTCTAGTTCTAGATCCCTGAGGAATCGCCACACTGTCTTCCACAATTGTTGAACTAGCTTACAGTCCCACCAACAGTGTAAAAGTGTTCCTATTTCTCCACATCCTCTCCAGCACCTGTTGTTTCCTGACTTTTTAATGATCGCCATTCCAGCTGGTGTAAGATGGTGTCTCATTGTGGATTTGATTTGCATTTCTCTGATGACCAGTTATGATGAGCATTTTTTCATGTGTCTTTTGGCTGCATAAATGTCTTCTTTTAAGAAGTGTTATCGTGAAAGTGGCCATACTGCCCAAGGTAATTTATAGATTCAACGCCATACTCAGCCTTTTTAAAGACTGTTTTCCTTTATCTTTGATTTTCTGGAGCTTAAATATTAGAGGCCTAAGTATAGGTTTTGTTTGTTTGTTGTTTTTTGTGATTGGCAAGGGTATTGTATATACCCTCCCTTATTATCTCTGAACTTCCCAAAACTGCAGTTTTGTGTCTGACATTAATTTAGGAAAATCATCAGATATTATCAGTCATTATTGGTTCAAATATTGCTTCTGTTCATTTCCTTTTATCTGGTATTTTTATAAATATACCTACATAGATTATACCTTATATAATTTGTTGTCATACCTACTGTCTCAGAGGGCCCATCAAAAATTCTTCTTTTCTATTACAGAGTTTTTGATCTCTAGCATTTCACTTTGATTCTTAGAATGTTTATTTTTCTGCTTACATTATCCATCCATTTTAAAAAATGCTGTTTACCTTTGCAAATGCAGAATAATTTAACAGAAATTCACAATCAAACAATACAATGAAATTGTATAATATCATACTTTTCCAGCTAAGTAATATAAATTACAAGACAAGAGAATAGAGCTTTAAATGTTTTTAAGAAAACAACAAATGAAAGTTTTATAATCAACATATTTTGACAAGACGGGCAAAAATTAAAGATACATTTAGATAAGTAAGAAATGAGGAAATAATCATTCAAAAGGCCCAATTATTAATAAAGAGTTTAAATATATATAAAATTTTGGGTAAGGATAATACATATTGATGTTAAATAAAATAATATCTTACAAAATTATAAAATAAACAGAACATTGTTAAAATGAATGAAGTAGTTGTATATAAATAGGAAGGTGGTTAAAATTAATGTTCTATTACTATTGTATTTTTCTAAAGATGATAAACACACTTCTAAAATAAAAGAAAGAAGTTATATAATTTAAAAGCTACTAGAGGGAATAAAGGAATAAAAAAGACTAATCTAAAAGTGTAATAGTTGGAATAAATGGGACTCTATGTTTAATAGAGGTATGTATGTGCACACTTATGCAAGTGCATGTGTATATGTATAACTACAACAAGATTGCAGATAAAATTGTTCAACATGTATCCTTGAGAAAGTATATAAAATGTTAAAGTCCATGACATTGAAGATGAAGAGGCAGTAAACTTATGGACTTTGAACAAACACGCAAACTACTAATATTTTTGTGGCACCTGAGATAGAGGGACAGAGTTCTAGGTGGCAAGAAGTAACCATTGTAAGAGTCCCAGTTCCCCCAAAGCCTATGTGGATGCCCTGACTGCTGAGAGAATGAATAACAAGACACTCCAGTGACTATTTTCAGTATATATGTGTGCTTTGACACACTAGTTACAAAAAGCTAGACTAGTATTATTTATAAATTAATTAATATTATGTAAGAAGAAACTGAGGATGGTGTTATTTATAGAGAATATGCACAGAGATTAATTTTTTATATCTTACCCAAAATATGAAGACATGAGAAATGACCTGAATATTACACAACAAGGTTTCAAATATAATTAGTTTTTTTCTCATCTGGTGGTCGTGCTAGTGGTATTGAAACTAAGCCCTTCCCAGAGTTAATAGTAGCCAAATTGTTTGTCCTTTCAAAAAAAAAAAGTTAAATGACTTCATGTAGCTCTCAAACCTAACATGTTGTGAATTGCTACCAAGTAACAAAAGCATTCTTTCAGGGCAGGTTAAACTTAGGCAAATGTCATTTTAAACTCAAAGTCCAGAATGATTTTGCAAAGATGAATTTTCATATTTATAAAATAATTGTATATATTAAACGTTTATGATTATAATTCCAAGGGCATGCCTTATAAGGTAAGAAAAAATAAAAAACGAAGTATAACCCAGGTCAGTTACCTCAATAATAATGTCCCATCCTAGCATTTTCTTGATGTGCGAATGCTTAGTGATGGTGTTTGAATTTATCATATGCAACCAGTGCAAGTAAAGGCACTTCAGAGGATACTGAACTCTCCTCCTATTTCACCTTCCCTGAGTGGCAGTTTCAATCAGTTTTAAAGTTTTTGCTATGCTGCTTTTTGTCTTTTCTGTACGTGTTTCACTCAGTGGTTAGTCTTGATATGAACTATGGTTTAAATATCAACTCTATTCTTATATCTGCTTTGGATCCCTTCCATATATGTGCCACTCAGGGATTAATTTGTTACATGTGTCAGTTTAATTATCAGTTCTGTTCACAATGCCATTTCTATGCTGCTTTGGGTCCTGTACAAGTGCTCTTTGCTCTCTGTTTTCTCCCACAATCTCTTGCCTATTGGTGCCTTTTTAATGATTTCCTGGCCAGAAAAAAGAAATAAATTTCTATTCATTTTAGCCACTTGCTTTTTCTGACATCTTCAAGACTAGATGCCTCCCTGAGGGCAAACCCTCCAGAGAAAACGGGAAAAATAGAAAACTCATGCTTTGGTAATTTTTCTAAGCCTTGAATCTGTACTACTATTTGATTATTTTGTTTACTCCAGTATTTTTTGAATATTGCATAGAGTTTTTAGTTGTAATTTGTGGGGAATATAGGCTCTAGATTTATTGCTTTGTGCCAGAAGAGAAACCCTTTCTATAGTCTTCTAAAGAGACAAATTGTTTAAACTCTAAATGTAAAGACAGATTTTTGCCAATCACAATGAGACCCACACGTGCATTTTGGAGTGGTAATATGATTTATTTTCAAAGCCTTTCTTATTTCTATAAAGTTCTATGTAGAATAATACATTTGTAAGAATTTCATGATAATTTATTCAGATAGCCATAACTATTCTAAGATGCAGCGTCATGCATTTTTTGCCTTTTTTCTATTCTTGCATTTTTTTATTATTTATTGTATACATTTAATAATTATAACTTCATTTCTGAATTTCACAGGTTCTCACCTATTATATTATTATTTATTTTGCATTATGATGCAAAATAGGTAATTGTAAACATAAATTAATTTTATTGGAAACTAAATCACATATTAGATTTTGATATAGTATAATGATTACAGTAAATTTATCATTTTAGTTAAATTTAATTTTACTGTTAGATTAGAAAACATAGTTGCAAATTTAAGCTTAAAGACTATTGATCTTTTTAAAATTAATATTAGACATGTTAGTATCATAGAGTAAACTTAGTTTTACATTTAAGTAGAATTTCAAACAATGAAGGCAATGCTTAGTTGGAGTGATTGGAAATGTGAACAGGCTTTTATTCACATTTTGATTGCATCTACTTAGTTGATTGAAAAACTTGAAGAAATAGTATGCTTTTGTACGAATAAATTATTTGTTTTATTGACTATAAGCATTCATAAGTTCATTTATAGGAGTTTGTAATTGCAATTTCTTTTTATATTTTATACCATTTAAGTATTAAAATTCTGAGGATAATCAACATAAACCTCAGGTATTTTGGTTCAGTTGTATTGTTACAAAAATATGTATATCTTGTTAGTTTCATATTTAAATGTTTCCAAAAGAGTGTTATTGCAAGTTAAACAGATTTACTCATCTCAAAATCTTTAAATTCACACATTTTTAAAATGAATTATCTTTAACATTTATCTAATGTGAATGAAAATATAGCATTATTGGTTGAAGTCTCCTTTTATTTGAGTGTATCTGTATGTTAAGTCTTGCAATTTATTTAAGATTAAAATACATTTGGACTATTTTTTATTAGTAATCCCAGCACTTTGGAAGGCCAATGTGGGAGGATCACTTGAGCCCAGGCATTTGAGACCAGCCTGGCAAACAAAGCAAAATCCCATCTCAACAAACACATTTAAAAATAATTAGCCAGTCATGGTGGTGTGCACCTGAGGTTCCAGCTGCTTGGGAGGCTGAGATGGAGGACTGATTGATCCCAGGGGTTCCAGGCTGCAGTGAGCTATCATTGTGCCACTGCAGTACTCCAACCTGGATGGCAGAGAAAGATCCTTTCTCAAAAAAGAAAAGAAAGAAAAGAAAAAAAAAAGAAAATTATCAGAATTATTATACCATCTAAGGATATCATATGTATGATTACAAATTCTCAAATACGTAAGAGTCTTATGAATGTCTATGCAATGATATAAGGAGCTGTTACTAGAGTTATATACAGTCTTCAGTGATATATCCAAGTTGAAATTGTAGTTTTATAGCAGATGACTTTTATGCCATTATAGTCTGTTATTCTCATGTCTTAGTTATCTATTATCTCTTGTCTTATTGAAGCCAAAGAATATTCATCATACAACTTATTCAATGGGAAATATCAAACATTGAATGTTATTAATATAAAACAACTAGCCTTACTTTCTTCAATGATTAATAAGATCTATACAAATGATTATATACCATTCAGCTGTCTGTGAGATACATCTGTTTATATTAGAAAAACCCATAATATAATTTATATTTCAGTGTAGCATTTGTAAAACTTATGATATATATGCTCTCCTGAACGGATATTCTACAAAGCTTGTTTACATTTTTAAGAATCATGATAGGTAAAGCATCTGTTATCTGTCCACAGATTACTCCTAATCATTGTCTGCGTTTAAAAATGTGTACCTTTAAAAGCAAATAATATGTTGGCCAGTTAATAATGTCACCTCAAATAAGATCATTTTTTCTCTTTCTATTGAAATTGCCTTTTCCCAGGTGGTCAATTTCACTTGTCATATGTTATTTTGGAAAATGTACAGGATTTAATAGATGAGGTATATCAAACTAACTACATTAGGAATATACCAGCTGTCAATATGGCTTCAACCCAATATCATCTTTTGGGAAAAGCAAATTTTAAAACGCAGATAGTATACTATTAGTCTGATAGAATGATAATAAGTTCCACCATCTGTTGTACATTTTACAATTAGTTGTGTTTTGTTTTCTCTAAAAATGCACATTTTCCTTGTCATATAAGAAATAAGATATCACGGCACATTTATTTGCTGGCAGTGACACACTAGAGCTATCAGTTAAGTTCTGCTACATATTTTCATGATTATCCTGAAAACTAATTATAGATATATGTTCAAATATAGTAATCTCATGCCAATTAATGCAATGTAAGTTTTATATGGATTAACATATTTAATCTTTCCAAGCATTACTATGATACAAATAACATAAAAATGGAATCAAATAGGCAAATAAATACCAAATATTCAGCTTTAAATTTTATATTTACTAACAGTTTTTTATGACAAATGACTGCTCATGTTTATCATTTAATTTTAACTGATTCATTTGCTTATACAATATATAATGTTAAATTAAATATATAAATTATTTTTTAAACTATTTTAAAAAGTCAAAAAAATTCTATCAATTTGCTATATAATATAAAAGTTAACTTAATTCTGAATTCCAATTATATTGAAATTACATAGTACACTTTATTCTGATTTTGATAGTTTCAACCATTTCAAAATAAAGGAGCAGATCATTCAAAATTATTTGATGTGTTTTCTGGAACAAAAGGTTAATTTAAATGTCAACCTAGTTTCAAGGTTAAACTATAAGAAAAGTCTTAAATAATTAAGATCTGTGCCACTTCTTACTGACATACCTGTAACTGATAGATAAATTTTAGATGTTTCCACTTAAAGATTGTTTAAACTATATTTCCATTCTTTACTTTTTACCCGAGTGTAGAGTTTATTGGTACAACTGGTACAATGAAAGCGAATTCACAGATTTTAATTTTTTTTATTATACTTTAAGTTCTAAGATACACATGCAGAACGTGCAGGCTTGTTACATAGATATACATGTGCTGCCATGGTGTTTTGCTACACCCATCAACCTGTCATCTACATTAGGTGTTTCTCCTAATGCTATCCCTCCCCTTGCCCTCCAACCCCAACAGGCCCTGGTGTGTGATACTCCCCTCCGTGTACCCATATGTTCTCATTGTTCAACTCCCACTTATGAGTGAGAACATGTGGTGTTTGGTTTTCTCTTCTTGTGTTACTTTGCTGAGAATGATGGTTTCCAGCTTCATCCATGTCCCTGCAAAGGACATGAACTCATTCTTTTTTTATGACTGCATATTATCCCATGGTGCATATGTGCCATATTTTCTTTAACCAGTCTATCACTGATGAACATCTGGGTTGGTTCCAAGTCTTTGTTATTGTGTATAGTGCTGCAATGAATGTGTGTGTGCATGTGTCTTCATAGTAGAATGATTTATAATCATTTGGGTATATACCAAGTAATGGGATTGCTGAGTCAAATGGTATTTCTACTTCTACATCCTTGAGGAATCACCACACGGTCTTTCATGATGGTTGAACTAATTTACACTCCCACCAACAATGTAAAAGTGTTCCTATTTCTCCAAATCCTCTCTGGAGTCTGTTGTTTCCTGACTTTTTACTGATTGTCACTCTAACTGGCATGAGATGTTATCTCATTGTGGTTTTGATTTACATTTCGCTAATAACCAGTGATGATGAGCATTTTTTCATGTTTGTTGGCTGCATAAATGTCTTCTTTTGAAAAGTGTTCGTGTATATCCCTTGCCCACTTTTTATTGGGGTTGTTTGTGTTTTTCTTGTAAATATATTTAAGTTCCTTTTAGATCCTGGATATTAGCCCTTTGTCAAATGGATAGATTGCAAAAATTTTCTCCTATTCTGTAGGTTGCCTGTTCACTCTGATGATATTTTCTTTTACTGTGCAAAATCTCTTTAGTTTAATAAGATCCCATTTGTCAATTTTGGCTTTTGTTGCAATTGCTTTTGGTGTTTTAGTCATGAAATCTTTGCCCATGCCTATGTCCTCAATGGTGTTGCGTAGGTTTTCTTCTAGGGTTTTTATGGTTTTAGGTCTCATGTTTAAATCTTTGAATCATCTTGAGTTAATTTTTGTATAAGGTGTAAGTAAGGGGTCCAGTTTTAGTTTTCTGCATATGGCTAGCCAGTTTTCCCAGCACCATTTATTAAATAGGGAATCCTTTCCCCGTTTCTTGTTTTTGTCAGGTTTGTCAAGGGTCAGATTGTGGTAGATGTGTGGCATTATTTCTGAGGCCTCTGTTCTGTTCCATTGGTCTATATATTTGCTTTCTGTACCAGTACCATGCTGTTTTGGTTACTGTAGCCTAGTAGTATAGTTTGAAGTCACGTAGCATGATGCCTCTAGCTTCATTTTTTGCTTAGGATTGTCTTGTCTATACAGGCTGTTTTTTGGTTTCATATAAAATTTAAAGTAGTATTTTCTAATTATTTGAAGAAAGTCAATGGTAGCTTGATGGGAATAGCATTGAATTTATAAATTACTTTGGGCAGTATAGCCATTTTCACGATATTTACTATGCCTATGCATGGGCATGGAATGTTTTTTCGTTTTTAGGTGTCCTCTTTTCTTTCCTTGAGCAGTGTTTTGTACTTCTCCTTGAAGAGGTCCTTCGCATTCCTTGTAAGTTTTATTCTTAGGTATTTTATTCTCTTTGTAGTAATTGTGAATGGGAGTTCACTCATCATTTCACTCCCTGTTTGTCTAATATTGGTGTATAAGGATTCTTGTGATTTTTGCACATTGATATTGTATCCTGAGACTTTGATGAAGTTGCTTATCAACTTAAGGAGTTTTGGGGCTGAGAAGATGGGGTTTTCTAAGTATATGATCATGTCATCTGCAAATAGAAATAATTTGACTTCCTCTCTTCCTATTTGAATACTATTTCTTTCTCTTGCCTGATTGCCCTGGCCTAAATTTCCAATACTATGTTGAATCAGAGTGGTGAGAGAGGGCATCCTTGTCTTGTGCCAGTTTTCAAAGGGAATGCTTCCACCTTTTGCCCATTCAGTATGACATTGGCTGTGGGTTTGTCATAAATAGCTCTTATTATTTTGAGATAAGGTATATAGTACCTAGTTTATTGATTGTTTTTATCATGAAGGGATGTCAAATTTTATTGAAGGTCTTTTCTGCATCTATTGAGATAATCATGTGGTTTTTGTCATTGGTTCTGTTTATGTGATGGACGATGTTTATTGATGTGCGTATGTTGAACCAGTCTTGCATCCCAGGAATGAAGCCAACTTGATCGTGCTTTTCAATGTGCTGATTAAGCTTTTCAATGTGCTGCTGGATTAGGCTTGTCAGTATTTTACTGAGGATTTTTGCATCGATGTTCATCAGGGATATTGGCCTAAAATTTTCTTTTTCTTTGTTGTGTCTCTGCCAGGTTTTGGTAGCAGGATGATGCTGGCCTCATAAAATGAGTTAGGGAGGGGTCCCTCTTTTTCTACTGTTTGGAATCTTTTCAGAAGGAATGATACTAGTTCCTCTTTGTAACTCTGCTAGAATTCGACTCTGAATCCATATGGTCCTGGACATTTTTTGTTTGGTATGCTATTAATTACTGCCTCAATTTCAGTTCTTGTTATTGGTCTGTTCAGGGATTCGACTTCTTCCTGGTTTAGCTTTGGGGGTGTGCATGTGTGCAGGAAATTATCCATTTCCTCTAGATTTTCTAGTTTATTTTCATAGAGGTGTTTATAGTATTCTCTGATGGTAGTTTGTATTTCTCTGGGATCAGTGGTAATATCCCTTTTAACATTTTTTATTGTTTCTATTTGATTCTTCTCTCTTTTCTTCTTTATTAATCTGGCTAGTGGTCTATCTATATTGTTAATCTTTTCAAAAAACCAACTCCTGGAATCACTGACTTTTTGAAGTGTTTTTCGTGTCTCTATCTCCTTCAGTTCTGCTCTGATCTTAGTTATTTCTTGTCTTCTGCTAGCTTCTGAATTTGTTTGCTCTTGCTTCTCCAGTTCTTTTAATTGCGATGGTAGGGTGTCGATTTTAGATCTTTCCTACTTTCTCATGTAGGCATTCAGTGCTACAAATTTTCCTCTAAACAGTGCTTTAGCTGTGTCCCAGAGATTCTAGTACGTTGTGTCTTTGTTCTCATTGGTTTTAAATAACTTATTTATTTCTGCCTTAGTTTCATTATTTACCCAGTAGTTATACTGGAGCAGGTTGTTCAGTTTCCATGTAGTTATGTGGTTTTGAGTGAGTTTTTAAATCCTGAGTTCTAACTTGATTGCACTGCGACCTGAGAGGCTGTTTGTTATGATTTCCATTCTCTTGCACCTGCTGAGGAGTGTTTTACTTTCAATTATGTGGTCAATTTTAGTCTAAGTGCTATGTGGTGCTAAGAAATACGTATATTCTGTTGATTTGGGGTGGAGAGTTCTGTAGATGTCTATTAGGTCTGCTTGGTCCAGCGCTGAGTTCAATTCCTGAATATTCTTGTTAATTTTCTGTCTAATCGATCTATCTAATATTAACAATGGGGTGTTAAAGTCTCCCACTATTATTGTGTGAGAGTCTAAGTCTCTTTTTAGGTATGTAAGAACTTGCTTTATGAATCTGGGTGCTCCTGTATTGGGTACGTATATATTTTTGATAGTTAGTTTTTCTTGTTTCAATGATCCCTTTACCACCTTTACCATTATGTAATGCCCTCCTTTTTTTTTTTTATCTTTGTTGGTTTAAAGTGTGTTTTATCAGAGACTGGATTGCAACCCCTGCTTTTTTTTTTTCTTGGCAAACCTTTCTCCATCCCTTTATTTTGAGCCCATGTGTGTCTTTGCATGTGAGATGGGTGTCCTGAATACAGCATACCAATGGATCTTGACTCTTTATCCAATTTGCCAGTCTGTGTCTTTTAATTGGGGCATTTAGCCCATTTACATTTAAGATTAATATCATTATGTGTGAATTTGATCCTGTCATTATGATGCTAGCTGGTTATTTTACCCATTAGTTGATGGGGTTTCTTCATCGTGTCGATGGCCTTTACAATTTGGTATGTTTTTGCAGTGGCTGGCACCGGTTTTTCCTTTCCATATTTAGTACTTCCTTCAGGAGCTCTTGTAAGGCAGGCCTGATGGTGACAAAATCCCTCAGCATTTGCTTGTCTGTAAAGGATTTTATTTCTCTTTCACTTATGAAGCTTGGTTTGGTTGGATATGAAATGCTAGGTTGAAAATTATTTTCTTTAAGAATGTTGGATATTGGCACTAATTCTCCTCTGGCTTGTAAGTGTTCTACAGAGATCCACTGTTAGTCTGGCGTGCTTCCCTTTGTGGGTAACCTGACCTTTTTCTCTGGCTGCTCTTAACTTTTTTTCCTTCATTTAAACCTTGGTGAATCTGACGAGTATGTGTCTTGGGGTTGAGGTTCTCGATGAATATCTTTGTGGTTTTCTCGTATTTCCTGAATTTGAATGTTGGCCTGTCTTGCTAGGTTGGGGAAATTCTCCTGGATAATATCCTGAAGTGTGTTTTCCAACTTGGTTCCATTCTTCCTGTCACTTTTGGGTACACCAATCAAATGTAGTTTGGTCTTCTCACATAGTCCCATATTTCTTGGAGGCTTTGTTTGTTCCTTTTCATTCTCTTGTCTCTAATCTTGTCTTCATGCTTTATTTTATTACGTTGTTCTTCAATCTCTGATATCCTTTCTTCTGCTTGATCTATTTGGCTATTGATACTTGTGTATGCATCACAAATTTTTTGTGCTGTGTTTTTCAGCTCCATCAGGTCACTTTTATTCCTCTCTAAACTGGTTATTCTAGTTAGCAGTTCCTGTAACCTTTTATCATGGTTCTTAGCTTCTTTGCATTGGGTTAGAACATGCTCCTTTAGCTCGGAGGAGTTTGTTATTACCCACCTTCTGAAGCCTGCTTTTGTCAATTTGTGAAATTCATTCTCCGTCCAGTTTTGTTTCTTTGCTGGAGAGGAGTTGTAATCATTTGGAGAAGAGGCATTCTGGCTTTTGGAATTTTTGGCCTTTTGGGTTAGTGTTTCCTCATTTTGGTGGATTTATCTACCTTTGGTCTTTGATGTTGGTGACCTTTGTATGGAGTTTTTGCATGTACGTCCTTTTTGTTCATGTTGATGCTATTACTTTCTGTTTGTTAGTTTTTCTTCTAACAGTCAGGACCCTCTTCTGCAGGTCTGCTGGAGTTCGCTGGAGTTTCACTCGAGACCCTGTTTGCCTAGGTATTACCAGCGGAGGCTGCAGAACAGCAAAGATTGCTGCCTGCTCCTTACTCTGGAAGCTTCATCCTAGAGGGGCACTGGCTAGATGCCAGCCAGAGCTCTCCTGTATGAGGCGTCTGTCAACCCCTGCTAGGAGGTGTCTCCCCATCAGGAGGCACGTGGGTCAGAGGCCCATTTGAGGAGGCAGCCTGTCCCTTAGCAGAACTTGAGTTCTGTGCTGGGAGAACCACTGTTCTCTTCACAGCCGGCAGGCAGGAAGGTTTAAGTCTGCTGAAGCTGTGCCCAAAGCTGCCCCTTCCCCCAGGTCTCAGTCCCAGGGAGATGGGAGTTTTATCTATAAGCCCCTGACGGGGGCTGGTGCCTCTTTCAGAGGTGCACTTCCCTGAGAGGAGGAATCTAGAGAGGCAGTCTGGCTACAGTGGCTTTGCAGCACTGGGATGGGCTCTACTCATTCGGAACTCCCTGAGGGTTTTGTTTACACGGTGAGGGGAAAACCACCTATTCAAGCCTCAGTAATGATGGACGCCCCTCCCCACATCAAGCTCAAGGGTCCCAGGTCCGCTTCAGACTGCTGTGTTGGCGGCGAAAATTTTAAGCCCCCTTTCCAGGGGAGTGGATGGTTCTCCTGTCTCACTGGGTTTCCAGATGCCACTGGGGTATTTAAAAAAAAAAAACCTACAGCTAGCTTGATGTCAGCCCAAATGGCCACCCAATTTTGTCCTTGAAAACCAGGGCCCTGGTGGTATAGACACCTGAGGGAACCTCCTGGTCTGTGAGTTTTGAAGATCTTGGGAAATGTGTAGTGTTTGGGCCAGCTAGCTCTGTCCCTCACAGCACAGTCCCTCAGGGCTTTTCTTGGCTAGGGGAGGGAGTTCACCAACTCTTTGCACTTCTCAGTTGAGGCAATGCCCCATCCTGCTTCTGTTCGCCCTCTGTGGGCTGCACCCACTGTCTAACCAGTCCCAATGAAATGAAACGGGTACTTCCATTGGAAATGCAGAAATCACCTGCCTTCTCTGTTGGTCTCACTGGGAACTGCACACAGGAGCTGTTCCTGTTCGGCTCTCTTGCCCAGGAAGCCCATAGTGTTTTATTTAATGTTTAATATTATTTGGCGTAGTTCTGGCAGTTTCAAAAAATACAGATGATCTAAATTTAAATTTTCTGAATTTATATATATTATAAATATGAATGTGTTCTTGAATTATACAATTACTTTGAATACTTTCGTTAGTTACAAACGTAAATATCTTAAATAAAATTCTAAGGCTTTAGACAGGTAAACGGAAGCAAAAGTATAATTAGATAAAGATTTGTGTAGTTTCCAGAAATATTGCTTCCTAGTTATAATTATTGCTGATGGCATTTACATTATAACATAAGTAACTCTTAATGCTCACTATTACTAACATCCTATTCTGTGATACCATCTTAGGGAAAGCCTATCATGCACCAATGGAAATTTTCTCAAATTTGGGGTCATCTTTTGTACCAAATGCACCTAAAGAACAATTATTTTAAAAAAGCTTTTCTGATTTAACATGTCATTCTTTGTACCTTACTTGAAATAAATATCTGTGTTTTTTTCTAAGGTGATGAAAGGAAACCACAAAACACAACTATAAAAATAAGCTATAAGACATCCTACAAGACACATGTCCAAAAATATTTATTCATTGGCCCAGTAAGTCCACATTACAGAATATATTGAGCTTTTAGAATAATTTTGTCAGAAGTTAGTTTTCAATATTGACTAGATTCTATTAGATAGTTTGGTAGAAAAATAGCATGCATGTGATTTTGCTCTCAAGACTTTGCTCTGAAGGTGCTTATCTTTATAGAGATTTGAAAAAGTGATACATGAGAGCATGCTATTAAATTACAAGTAATGTATTGATAGTATAAATAAGTAGTTTGAGAATTAAAGGGGCATAATATGGTTATATCAAGGACAACATCTTAAAAAAGGCCTTGGATGATCATTATGTCTCAGAATAATTGGAAGAAATAATGAGATTTTACAGACACATCGGGCACCAACTCTGTAACAGGTACTCTTGTCAGCACATTACATGCATCAGCTATTTAATTCACATAGAGGTTTCATGCAGTAGAAATTATATCATTTTTACTAATAAACTGAAGTTCAATGAGGTTAGGTTCTTCTAAATCATGCTTAATAACCAGTAGTGCTAGTTTTACATTTCAAAGCTGTTTTAAAAATTAAATGAAATCATTTATATAAAAGCAATCTATAAATGTATAGTACCATTATTTTGAAAAGCCTGGCAATTCTGTATACAACCTGTTTTAGAAATTGTGCATGGCTGAGATTTAACCATATTTGAAAGCTAGCAAGTCATCTTTTCAGTTTTATAGATACTGGTAGAAGATATGAGACTCTCAGGTCAGAGACAAAGGACAGCTTATTATTCACAGCAGTAGCTGAGTAAAATCATTGATTCTTTGAACCTCAGTTCTCATAGTGTTATGCAATAATTGCCAGGTGATACTTACACATTCAGTAGAATATGTTACAGGAAAGGAATTGTAAAATTAAGAAACCTTGAGCTTATATATGGGGCTGCTGGAAAACATGGCCAAACTGCTATAGAAGGAGATATATCTGATTTTCCTGGACATTAAACAAATCTCTTTCAGACAGAGACACTTTCTCTATATTACGTGAATGGTTGTTATAAAACATTATTGAAAAGTTAATCCAGAGGAAAAAAATCTCCTAATATTCTTATATAGAAATGTGTAGAAATGTGAGGAAAAAAATTGTCTCTAGGCTCCTGTATCTATAATCTTCTTCTTTTTTAAAAAACATGGTCTCACTCCATTGCCAAAGCTGGAGTTCAGTGGTGCAATCATAACTCAATGTAACCTCCAACCCCTAGGTTCAAGGGATCCTCCCATCTCAGCCTCCTGAATAGCCAGGACTACCACATTTGTCTGTCTTGTTTTTGGTTTTTCATAGAGACAAGGTCTTGCTATATTGCCACAGCTGATCTCAAACTCCTGGTCTCAACTGATCCTCCCATCTCTGCCTCCCAAAGTTCAGAGAAAACAGGCATGAGCAACTGTGCCTGAACCCTATAATCTTCTTTGTTACGTAAAAGAGATGAGAAAATGTTAATTAACAGTGTTCTCAGGTAAATAACAGAGGAATCAAAAAGCAAAATAAAATGACAATGAAAATAATCATTGTATACTAATAAAATAAAATAATAAATTGTTTAGTATGACAGACCCAATATTTTAAATGTTTAAATGTCCAAAATATTTGCATGGCTAAACTAAGAAAATCATACAATCATTTCAATGAATAGTGCTCCATCTGGGCTGGAGTTATTAGAAAATAATATTCGGAATAGCCTGACTCATGGTAGCCTTCCTTGGAAAGGCGAGGGATAACAGAATGAGGTCAACTTTGATACAAACAGGACTCTATACCAGGAAGTACAAGGAGATGTAGTTGTGGGACGTCTGGAAAAAAGTAGTTCAGGTCTAATAATGGAATGTGAGGTCATGGATCAGTAAGCACACTCGAGTTAAGGTAATTGAACAGCAATCCATTTCTGGACTCCATATCTAGTGACGGTACTTTAAATATACAAACACATAAATTTAACATTAATTTAGTGTCTGGGTGGAGATAAATCTTCAAATAGTACAACGTCTTACTAACAATGTGATAAGGAAGGAGACGGCAGGAATTGGTCTGAGAACAAGGAGTTATGTCCAAGCAAATCAAAAGATGGTTAAAAAAAAACAGTTGAAGAAATAAATTAATCCTTCATTTACTTCCTGTAACTTCCCTAATTGTCATGTAGGCAAAATTTTTTACTTTACTTAAATGTCAGAATAACATTCTGCTTGATACATTAGTAAATGTTGGATTTAAAAAGCATTTTGTGGAAAGAATTAAAGTGAGGTAGAGAGAGTAATTTGGATATGAAATTATTTTTAAAATTTTTCCTTGATTTAGAGACAATATATAATCAAGCCCATATTTGCCTCTATTCTCCTAGATATTATGACTTTCAACTTATAAAATATTTAAAGGAGTTAGAATTCAGGGTTGTGGCATAAAGAAGCAAACCACATTTAATAATCCCAATCAACAATGTGCTAATGAAAAACTATAAATAAAACATGTATTTCAGTTAAAGAGAGTGAAGCACCAACAATTGACAAAAAAGTTAAAAATCTAACAATTAAAAAATAAGTTCATTCTCACTATTTATAATAGAAACTGAATTTTAATAAGTGCTTTATAAAACCATTACAAAGTTTAAAATAAAAGTTTTTGTGAGGGTACAATGGAAAAAAATGTATTCTCATAGACCACTAGTGGAAATGTAAACTCATGCCAACTATCTGGAAGTAAATTTGTAAAGTCAATATATATTTACTGCCTTGAATAGGCTCATACTTTGTGAATAAGTATTCATTGTCCCAGAATTTATACTCATATACTCAAGCATTCTCAGTAAGTTCCTAAGCAGAAGGTTTTAATCATGTGGAACAGAATAGGTTATATATATATAACCCATATATATATATATAAAAAAACCTATATATAAATTATATATATATAAAATCTATATATAAAACCTATATATATAACCTATATATAGATTATATATATAAAACCTATATATAGATTATATATATAAAACCTATATATAACCTATATATAGGTTATATATATAACCTATATATAGGTTATATATATAACCTATATATAGGTTATATATATAACCTATATATATAACCTATATATAGGTTATATATATAACCTATATATAGATAATATAACCTATATATAGATTATATATAACCTATATATAGATTATATATAACCTATAATAGGTTATAAATATTAACATATAACCTATAGAGGTTATACATATTAATATATAAATATATAAAATTAATCAATTAATAACAATTATTTAATATTGTTATTAATTATAAATTATTAATAATTAATAATAATTAATATATTAAATATATTATAATATAAAATATTATATTATATTTATATATAATATATAATAACCTATATATAGGTTATTAATGTTAATTAATAACCTATATATAGGTTATTAATGTTAATTAATAACCTATATAACCTATTATAGGTTATATAGGTTATTAATATTAATATATAGGTTATATTGATAACCTATGTAGGTTAATATATAACCTATATAAATATAAATATATATTTATATATTTATTAATATATATTTATATATAAATATAAATACATTATATATAAATATATATTTATATATATTTTATAAATATATATTTATATGTATTTATATATACATATATATTTACATATATATATAAAATTTTTATCTATGCTGCTTCTGGAACATCAACCCTTGTGATGGGTAGGTCATTTATCATAAAATATGTGTTAAGTGTGTGCAGAGAAAAATGGTTGGTATTGGCTAGGTCATGATCCGATCTGAAGACTGAAGATTCAAGCAAAGTTTTACTGAGTTTGACCACAAAAATAAATTAACTTGACATCAAGAGGCAATGACATGATGCAACCAACTTGCTAGTATGTGTCAGGGTAGGGTTAGTGCAAGAATAACAAGAGAAAAGAAAAACAGGAGCAAGGAAGTAAGGACTTTGGTGCATATATAGTCAATCCGTAATATTTGTGAATCTCATATTTATGATCCACCTAATTTAATAAAATGTGTTATTAATCCTAAAATCAGTAGTCATGGCACTTTCATGGTCATTGACAGATATGTGCCGAGTAGCAAGACATTTGAGCTGACCAACCATGCAGATTTCCAGATGAGGTTGAACCAGGCAATGTTCTTTCTTTTTGTTTCAGCTTTCATACTACAAAAAAAGTGTTCTTTTTGTAGTTTATTTAGTGCTCCATTTGTCGCATTTTTTGTGGTTTTTGTTGGTGATTTTGCTGTTTTAAATGGCTTCCAAGCATAGTGTTAATGTGCTGGGTAGTGTTTCTAAATATGAGAAGGCTATGACATATTTTGCTGAGAAAATATGTGTTAGATAATTTTCATTCAGGCACGAGGTATAGTGCTGTTGGCCATGAGTGAGTTGAATGTTCATAAATCAGTAATATATATTATGTTTTCTTTAATGTAAAACACAGATAAAAGAATTGTATGAATTAATCAGTTAATAAAAATGTGATCAGAGGCTTACATGGTCCTAATTATTCCCAGGAACAGTGATTCAGAATTCAATAATTCCGTGTCCATTGTGACTCCATGTATATTTATAAAACTGCTGTGTCTGTTTGTGCGTTTGTATGTATGTATGTATGTATATACATACATATATACAGAAACATAGACATATACACATGTATAACAATTATATATATATAAGCATTTAAATAAATATTGAATGGCCAGATTATAACTGATGTAGATGCTTTTCAAAATTTCAACAATTTCCAAATACTCTACAGTTACCATTATTTTCACGTCCAAATAAATATACCTCACTTTTGAATTATAATCACCTGTCACCATTTAATCAAATTATTAAGAAACCTAAACCTTTTGACCTAAATGTATACTTTTAGAAAATTTTATTCCATATGAAATATAAAGAGGCATATAAAATTTATGAATGAGTGTATGCAGTGCTATATCACTTATAAAAATAATATAGTATTGGAAGCAATTTGAATATTAAGTAGCATATGGAATATACATTTGATTAGATAATTATTTCACAGAATCTTACAATAAGAAAAGAGTAAGTATATATTGTTAATTGTATAAAGAAGGTCAGAAAGTAGTTTTAACACAGAATACAGATACTGTTAATGTATATAATATTAATATATTTCTGCATATATTATATGATATATAATGAATACTGTTAAAATGCATCCTGTAATACCATATATGTTAAATAATGTTAAGAAAGTTACAGTAGGTATCTCTTTATCGTGAGTTTTTATTAATTTATGTCTACATTATATTGTTATAATTTTTTTATTTCAAATGATATGTGTTTCTTTTATAATATAAATATGAATTTGTGACAACACTCAAAATGTTATAGTGGTTAACTTTTATATTAGTTTTTAAATACACTACAAAATATTATTCTGTAATAATAATGCTTTCAGTGTTTTAAGGAATAATAAAATGTAACATGTTTGATCAGCAAGTTTACATAAGTATGGTTTTGCTAATCCTGACAGTGCAACTCTAAAGTCAATGTACATTACTGCTATGGTTTAAATATCCCTGGAAAATCTATGTTGAAATTTAATTAACATTGTAACTGTATTAAAAGGTTGGACTTTTAAGATGTGAGTAGGTTTTTAGGGCTCTGACCTCATAATCATGGGAGTAGTTTCATTATCATGGGAGGGAATTTTTTTTTTAAAGCTTGAGTTCACACCTCTTTGCCTCTGTCTCCATCCCTCTCTCATGCCCTCTTGCTGTTCTGCCTCCTGCTCTGAGAAGATGTAAGAAAACCCTTATCTGATGCCCGTGCCATGATCTTAGACTTCTCAGTCTTCAGAATCCTGAGCCAATAAATTTCTGGTCATTATAAATTACTCAGTCTGTGGTATTCTGATACAACAGCATAAAACAGACTGAGACAATTAAGAAACATAGATGTTATGAAAAAAATGTGAAAAAGAATAAGGTTTATAGTCCTGTATTGATAGTGTAAAAGTGTATTGTATTGCAAATAAAAAGATAAAATTATATAAATAAAATTTATGAACTATTGTTCTTTTCAATATTTTAAAAATAGGGATTTAAAGAGAAGTATGGGGTCTCTCATACAAGATATATTATTTCCCCAGGACATTATAAGAAATTGAAGCAAGGTTTAAATCAGCATTAACTAGGATTAAAGTAATGCCAGGTCCTGTTGCCCAGAAGGAAACAGGTAGGAATAAAGGAATTGCTTTTAACAAAGAAATGTGTAAGGAGCTTTCAAACCCAAGAGTCAACTTCTTGAGTTATCTTTGATTGAAGCTAGAATGCATTGAAAGGAAAGAAGCTGCATTAAAAGCCATGACTCAGATATAGGGAAAATTTATACTCAGAAAAAATGAAAATGAGAATATTTCACTGAGTTTTGGACTCTGCCAGTAATTTATCCTAAAAGCAAATTAGCAATATAGTTTACATTTCTCTAGTTTTGATTAATTGTATCTCTCTTTAGCTTCTTTAGTTGCCTGTGCATGAGAAGTACATTTTACAAAAGTATACGCTTCCATATTCGAAATGCCACTTTAGAACTTTTTATGAAAACACAAACAACTAGACGTAATGATATTTAGATGTCCAATTTTGAGAAGGGCCCTCTTCTTTCTACTACTTGGGAATAGTATCAGCTAATATGTATTGAGTATTTACCATGTACCAGGCACTATAAATGCTTTACATATGTTAATTTGTTAAATTCTTATTAGTTATTTTACAAATTTGGCACTTCTTTATTCTATTTTTTAATTTTTTTAATTTTAATTGATATATAATATTTGTACTTATTGATGGGGTAAAATGGGAGGTTTAAATTCGTGTGTACATAGGAAAATTATCAAACTGGGGTAATTACCATGTCCATCACTTTAAACATTCATAATTTCTTTGTGCTGACAGCACAAATAAATCTTTTAGATTTCTTGAAATAGATACTACATTATTATTTGCTGTAGTAATTCCACCTTTTGTTAGAACATCAAAAGGTTTCTTCCTAATTATAACTTTGTATCTGTTGGTTGACCGACCTTTCCTGGTCCCTGCTTCTTGCTATGCTCCTATACTCTCCAGCCTCTGGAATAGCCACTGTTTTATCCTATTCCTCTGTGGATTCAGCTTTTTTAAGTTCTACATATGAGTGAGATGATGCAAGGCTGTTGTCTTTCTTGGCCTGGCTTATTTCACTTAACCATTTAACATAATGTCCTCCAAGTACATCCATGTTGCCACAAATGACAGGATTTCATTTTGTTGTATGGCTGATTGAATCCATATCTCAACTAGTGTGAACAGTGCTGCAATAAGCATGGGTGTGCAGATGCATCTTCAACATCCTGATTTCATTTATTTTGGACACATATCTAGTACTGGGATTGCTAAATATGTTAGCTGTTTCTTCAAATGTTTGAGGAACCTCCATACTGTTTTTCGTTCCTATCAAGAGTGTATGAGCTCCCGTTTGTCTGCCTCCTATCCAGCATTTGCTATTTTTTGACTTTTTGTTAATAGCCATTTTAACTGGGATAAGGTGATTTCCCGTTGTAGTTTTGATTTGCTTTTCTCAGATGATAAGTGATATGGAGCATATTTTCACATATATGTTGGCCATTTGTAAGTCTTCTTTTCAGAAACATTATATACACATTTTGCCTGATTTTATTTTTGTTGTTGTTTGTTTTTTTGTTTGTTGCTTTAATAGTCTTTCTCCCTAGCTGGCTTCTTGTATAGTCTAGATATTAACAATTTGTTAGATGCATAGTTTGCAAATACTTTCACTCATACTATCTCTTCATGTTATTGATTGTTTCTTTTCCTGTGAAGAAGCATTTTGATTTGATGTAACCCCATTTGTTTATTCTTGCTTTTGTTGCCTGTGTTTTTGAGATCTTACTTAAAACATCTTTGCTCAGTCCAATTTCATGAAGTATTTTGCCTGTTTTCCTCTTGTAGTTTCATAGATTCAGGTCTTACATTTCAATGTTTTATCCATTCAGAGTTGATTTTGTGTACATAGTGAGAAATGGGGATCTGGTTTCATTCTTCTACATGTAGATATTTAGTTTTCCCAGGACCATTTATTTAGGAAACTGTTCTTTCCCCAAAGAGTGTTCTCATTTGTCAAAAATCATTTCACAATGAAAAGATGTTTTTTGAATAAGAAAAGCAAGAGAGAAAACTCAAAGAAATAAAATGAGATGAAAAATGTGACATTTTGACTGATACATAGAAATACAAAGAATCATAAGAGACTACTATAAAAAACACTAGGCCAACAAATTGGAAAACCTAGAAAAAATAAATACATTCTTGAACACCTACCAAGATTGAATCATGAAGACATATAAAACCTATTCAGACCAATAACAAATAAGGAGATTAAATCAGTAATAAAAAGTGTCCCATCAAAGTAAAGCCCTGAACCTGATGACTTCACTGCTGAGTTCTACCAAATATTAAAAAAAGTAGTTGTATTCAAATTATTTTTAAAAATTGAAGGAGAAAGAATACTTTGAATATCATTCTACAAATCCAGCATTACCCAAATACCCAAACCAGATAAAGATATAGAAAAAAAGAAAAAGAAAAAAGGAAACTACAGGCCAAGATCTCCAATAAATGTAGTTGAAAAAAATCCTCAACAAAACACTAACTATTCAAATTTAACAACCATTAACAAGATGGTTAATCATGATCAAGTAGGGCTCATCCCAGAAATGTAAAGATGGTTCAACATATGAAAATCAATAAACGTGACACCCACATTAATAAGATCGAGGACAAAAACTATGATTTTTCAATAGATACTGAAAAAGCTTTCGATAAAATTTGAAGTCCTTTTATGATCAAAACCCTCAAAAAGTTGGATAGAGCAGGAACAAAGCTTGGCACGATAAAGCCCATACATAACAAATCCACAGCTAACATCATACTGAATAAAAAAAAAGTTGAAATATTTTCCTCTAAGATCTAGAACAAGACAAAGATGCCCACTTTCGACATTTTCATTTCAGTTTTTACCAAATTTGAGCCATAAAACTGTGCCACTACAATGTTACATGGCTAGTAACTGGCTGAACAAATCTGGTTTCAGAATCCTGAATGATTCTGAATCCAAAATGATTACAGACAGCTACAGTATCATGAAAGAAAATGACCAATAATATTTAATTACCTGAAGAATAAAATAAAGTTATTTAAATATACTATATGAGCAAGTAGTGATCTTGGAATTCTAAGATATACAATAATAAAAAAAGTGAGGTCTCTGTGTTCACCAATTAAATGTAAAAACTAACTTCACATTTTGTGCTACAGAGAAATGTAGATACATCTAATTTATAGGTTAATTACATAATCACAAAGCATCATGGACCCAGTTCCAACTTAACATTTTACTCTAAAAATAAGTTGTTTTATAGGTATAAAAGAAAAACATGTCTATTTATTTTTTCCAAGGTTGTGTCTTTATCCATACTGCAGTTTACTACTTGATATTTTAATTGCTATACTCAACATGGTATCTATTTTAATTTTCATCAAAATTATTATTGTCTCTAAAGGAGTCTTTTGAGGTTAGACCTCTAAGTGACCAGTGAAAGATGAGGAACCGAAAATGACAAATTCTTCCCCTTGCCAATGTTATCTCTTATGATATATCAAGCACCATCATTGCTATCAACTGAATAGTGAAAATATGATAATGTTTACAGATGTTGCCTCTGTTCTTACAGCAAACAAGGTTATATTTCCTGTGTTCTATTTGTATTGGTAATTCTGATTGCTCCTGTGTTCTAGTCTGAATACTTGTCTGTTTAATCTATCTTTACCATCCATTAAGAAAATTCCATGACATTAAAGATCCTGTTCACCTTGTTCAATCGTTTTCCCAGTATAGATTATGTTATTTGAAATGTAACTATATTTATTCAGCAAAGAAAGTAATGAATGAAGAAGTTTTCAGATTCGAATAAATCTTTACAGCAAGGTGCAATGAACAAATAATAAAGTGTATGAAAAAGTTGCATAATATACAAGAGTAAATTAAAATATGTTAATCTCATGATGTTTTTATGAAACATTAAGGACAAAACATGTGTTAGAATTATGAAAAATTATACTGATTATTTTAACATGAAAATATATTCCAATGTAGATTAGAAATATTCATGAAAACATGTTTTTGTGCCAGTATCACATAATCCTAATTTTTGTACCACTTTAAAGTATCAATATTTCTGTACCAAAAATTATTTCTATGTTATCATCCAGGTGTGTCAAGTTGCCACTGGGATTACTTTCAGATTACATCTAGAAATTGTATTTCAATTTTGGAAAAAAGTAAAGAAATATGATTTTAGTGAAAATATATATGAAGCTAAAACTCAATTATTTCATCCAAGAGCACAATATTTATTCAAAATAAATTTCACAAACATCAAACTGAAAATTAACAAAAGGTTTATAACAAACAAAAAACATATTCGTTCAAGAAAAACTACTCAACTTCAATAAGAAGAGTGGGTCATTGGCATTTTATTTTAGGACTTCTCTCAAACCCTATTCCCACCTACATGGTATAATAGCCTCAAAACCAGCAGCCTCACAGCTATAAGAGAGGGCAAACATGTTTGGAGCTCTATGAAAGTCTCATCACTAGAGTGTTGCCAGTATTTAATCTAACATGAACCTCTGAGGAAAAGCCTCATTCCCAGGATATTATGGTTATTTGTGTTTTATTTTGAGACAGAGTCTCACTCTGCTTTCCAGGCTGGAGCACAGTGGTGCGATCTTGGCTCAGGGCAACCTCCGCCTCCCAGGTTCAAATGATTCTCGTGCCTTAGCCACCCTAGTAGCTGGGACTGCAGGTGCCCGCCACCATCCCCAGCTAATTTTTGTATTTTGTTCTCAAACCCCTGGCTCGAAGTGATCCCCCTGCCTCGGTTTCCCAAAGTGCTGGGATTATAGGCCTGAGCCACCAAGTATTATGGTTATTTGAACTAACTCATAACTCACTTCAGTAGGAAAAACCCTATCCCCAGGCATTGAAAACAAGCAGCTGCAGTTGTTTAACGTAAGAATTCCTAAGGCTATGATACTAGTTGGGACAAACAAGAACACAGCCAAAAATTCAGAGTAATATCTGGGCAACAAAAAGTATACGGGGGATTTGAAAGGCTCTGAGATATTTCCAGTCATCTAGAAAGCTGCACACATGTTCAGGAAAGGATAGGAAGGCCTTCACTTGTTCACTTCTGGCCGACTTTGAAGTACTGCACAAGCAGTAAGAGAAGCCTAAGGAAGAATTACACACAATCTCTCTTTCTCTCTCATTCTCTCTCTGTCTCTCCAAAAGAGAAGCTTACTGGCTAAAGAGATTTAAGGAAGTTATTGGCTGACAACTAAGATAGCTAACTGCTGATCCAAGGTCAATCTGTAGGAAGTCAAATAAATGATGATAATAAATAAGACAAAACAAAGAAACAAAATTGAGGGACACATTAGTAACTGTACACTGCAGAGAATATAGACTAGAGAGAATTAATCTAGAAAAGTAAACAAACACCAATAACAACAGCAACAAATATCAACAACAACTGTTGGGAGATCTGATTCCAGAATTTTTACAATAAATTACATAAAATGTCTAGTTTTAATCCAAAAAAGATGAGAGACATGAAAACTAATTGGAAGTTGGTCCATACCCCCCCCCCAAAAAGATATAAGTAGAAACTGTCTGTGAGATCCTAGATATTTAACTTAGAAGACAAAGAATAAATCAGCCTTTATAACTGCTTAAAGAATTAAGAAAACCATGTTTAAAGGAACTAAGACAAAGTCTGACAACTGTATCTCACCAAATACAAATGATCAGTAAAGAGATAGAAATTATATTAAAAATTAGAAATTCTAGAGTTCAAAAGGATGATAATTAAAATTGATTTTAGTAGAGGAGCTTAACAGATCTGAGTTGACAGAAGACACTATCAGTGATTACTAAGAGTACTAAAAATAGTAACATTCAAGTAGCTTTGAGCACATCTAGTACTCAGCTACTGGTTTCTAATACCATTCTCCAATGGAAGAAACTAAAACTCATTGTAGTAATGCCTGTTCTAGGACCAGTGCAAAGAAATACAAAATAAGCCTGAAATATCTTGTAGTACAAAAATGTTAAAGAACCGCTAAAACAATAAAAGGATAGAGGTGTGTCAAACAGACATAGGAACAAACCTGAAAGAACTTCCAATGACTATGAGTGGAATAGAATAAATAACATAAGTGTTGGATCACAAACTGAAGACTGAAATAAAATTCATAAATCTATGAACTTTAACATAAATTATTAAATAAATAAATGAGAAGGAATAAATTTACTTTACCAAAATATAATAAATGTAGAAATAACCAAATCCGTGGAATAGAAAATCACCATCAGAACACCATATTTATAGTTGATGAAAGTGAAATTCATTGAAGGAAGACAAAGTTACTAATGAAAATTTATATATATATGTGTGTGTGTGTGTATATATATATATATATATATATATATATATATATATATATATATATGCACATATGATATACCTCCCTCTAAGAAATGGAAATTGCTTATCCTCCAATGGAGTTTGGGCCCCACTTAGTGATTCCCTTCTAAAGCATAGAGTATTGAAAGCAAAATATAATAACTTATAATGGAGAAACCTGTAATTAAATTTATCATCCCCAATAACATCCTGTTTGTATCATGTGTCACCTGCCATACTGTAATGAAAACAGCCACACTTCTATGGTATTCTCCAGAAAAATTCATAGCTTCAATGTAATTATGAGAATGCATCAAACAAATCCAAACAGAATGACATCCTACAAAATACTACCAGTTTTTTCATTGAAGTGACTC
Source organism: Homo sapiens (assembly GCF_000001405.40). Lineage (NCBI taxonomy): Eukaryota > Metazoa > Chordata > Mammalia > Primates > Hominidae > Homo > Homo sapiens. The sequence goes on from NC_000006.12 coordinate 67,442,424, forward strand.
TCTTTAATCATTTTTGAGAAAATTTTTATCAAATGTACAAGTCTCAATATCAATTATCCATCTGACATTAGTTCAAGTGAAAAATGGTGTTCTATAAAAAATATTGTCTATTTTAGTTCTCAGCTAGAACAAACAACGCAACCATTATAATTTTTAGACAGCAGGGTGCTCTATGTGAACTTCCCCGTTGTCACATAGAACAGGAAAATGACTTGTACTCAAGAACCAAGACTAAATACGTAATATTTTTACTGCTTTCTCAAGAATGTCTTTTAGCAAAACTTTTTTTTTCAGTTTGGTGGTGAAGTAAATATGGACTGTGAATAAAATTTGATACTCTGCTTAGATTTTGGTAAGATACCATGATTGTATCTACTACCATTGGTTTTGCGTCATTTTAGATAATATCAACAGAGAAAACATAAAAATGATGTCTTAGTATTATTGAAATATTTTTACCTTGTGTACTCCCTGAAATGATCGAGAGACGCACTTTGAGAACCTTTAATCCAGGGCAATGAGAAGGAATCCCAAAACCATTTAGATTACTAAAGAATAATACCAAAGAATACAGAAAGCTGCTCCCTAGATTCTGTTACATGTGGGACTCTGACTGCATTTTCTTATTTCTCATTTCAATTATATAAATTTCATAAAAAGCAAAAAACAAAATTGATTTAAATATTTTTAATTTTCTACTCTTTGGTAGACATAAAATGTAATAGATTTGTAGCAGCATTCTACAAAACTTAGAATATCAGATCTCATAAATTATTCTTGATTTCTAAAAAAAATTCATGGTATATACACTTTCGAGATTACGTATTGCACTTATAAAAATGGCTACATGTATGCATGTGTGTTTGTGTGTGTGTATATATATACATATATATATAGAGAGAGAAAGACAGAGAGACAGTGTTCTAATCTCTAATGTCAGTGAATATATAGGCAAATAAAGTTTGAAATGAATATTGTATTAGGTCATTGAAAATAATTTTTACTCTAAATTTAAATTTCAAGATTATAGAATAATCCATATTTATTCAAAAGCATCAATATATTGAAAATACTGAATAAAGTAATATTTAAGACTATCAATATATAGTAAACTGTAAAATAAAATGGAGCTGATACATAGTTTTCCAAATTAAAAATCAAAATATGAAATATATGAAGCTGTGTCAATAAATTGTGAGGCCAATCTATTTCATTTATTGCACGAGAGACATAATTGGGCAGTGAGGCAATCTTAACAACTTGATTCAAACTCTGCTTCTTATTATGTGATAACAGAGGGGTCTAACAAATTTACCTATGTTGAGGGAGGCTTCTGAGAACTAGCGATTCCTATTGTTTTCAATGTCGGCTGACATGCCATTTTAGATAAGTATATTATATGTCATAAAGCAGGAGTGTCCAATTTTTTGGCTTCCCTGAGCCAATTTGGAAGAAGAAGAATTGTATTAGATCACACATAAAATACACTAGCACTAACAATAGCTGATGAGTTAAAAAAGAATCACAAAAAAAGCTAATGACGTTTTAAGAAAATTTGAGTTTGTTTTGAGCTGCATTTAAAGCCATCCTAGGCCACATGTGACCTGTGGGCCATAGGTTGGACAAGTTTGTTAAAGAGACTACATATATATTCATTATATATGTATAGATTTATATAATATATATTATATATATGTATACACACACACTTATATACTTTTTTTTATTATACTTTAAGTTTTAGGGTACATGTGCACATTGTGCCGGTTAGTTACATATGTATACATGTGCCATGCTGGTGCGCTGCACCCACTAACTCGTCATCTAGCATATATATACATTTTTTAGAAGGAAGAGAAACAAGCACCTTCTTCACAAGGCAGCAGGAGAGAAAGAGTGAGAGAGCAAAGGGGAAGTGCCACACTTTTAAATCATCAGAACTCCTGAGAACTCCCTCAGGAGAATATTAATAGCATGAGGGAAACAAACCCCATAATACAATCATTTCCCATCAGGTCCCTCCCTCTACACGTGGGGATTGCTATTCCAGATGAGATTTGGATGGGGACACAGAGCCAAACCATATCACTTGGTAACTCCTTCCAGAATCAATTAGGATAAATGTTGTATGTAGTTTGGGGATTAGAGAGTACAGAATTGCTGACTTTTCCACTTCCTAGTTCTTTTATTTAGAATAGTTATTTAAATTTCGTGACGTTCAATTTCCTTCATGCATAAAATTATGAAGTAAGGTTTCTTCCCTACAAAAATAGCCTCCACTGCTTCTTCCTATGGTGTTACCACTTGTTTCCAGCTATTAGTAGAGACAGTGTAGTTTACTTATAAAGAAAAATCACAAGTCCTAATTGTTTACAAAGTTATAAACAGCTTTTTTAGAATTTTGCTCCTTTTTTCCAAAATAAACCTTTCAACTTTAGTTTCAGGAGTACTCTCAGGGACATTGTTACATTAATACAAGTGTCTTGGCATGCTCAGAAGTAATATGAAAAGAGAATGAGAGAGGTTTGAATATTAGCAAATCTTGAGATCAGAAAATATGATTTTTAGTGGGTTGGTTAGCATCTATTTATCAACAATGACTAGTTTACAAAAGGTAGACTCTAGTAACTCAAATCGTAATGCACTAAAAACAAAGATCTGAAAGAATCTATAATTGTAGAGGTTAACAGTTAGAACCTTGAAATATTGATTAGTCAATAAAGAAATCTGAATAGCTGTGTTTCAAACAACTTTCAGGGACAAAAGTTTTGAGTTCACTTTGTCTATGAATTTTTATCACATTCATAAAAATGTTATGAATACAAAACAATTCAACAAATAATAATTAGGCATACTGTTTTCCATGAAACACCTAACTGAAGTAATTGAGGTTAAGACCTACCCCAAAGCAATTTATTTTTAAAATATAATTCTAGGATGATTTCTCATTGAAAACATATGTGCCTCATATTATGTCACAGAAAATTTTCTATATTAATTAGTTTCAAATAGATGAATATGAAAATGATGATAGAAAAATTTGTAATTTTTATAGTTCATTCACAATCTTCAGGTATGATTTGAATAAGCTATATTTAAAGCAAAAAAGTTTGATAAAATAAATATAAAATAAGTTACATTAAAATGAAGTGTTTAGGCTGAGAAGATTGAAAATATCCAAAATATTTTCCAAAATATTTACTCTAAATGATCATCAATATTAGCTTTGTACTCCCTGGCAATATGTATAAGATGATAAGAACAGGTAAAGCCATGTATATTTCTGCCAGACGTGTATTTTAGAAACATATGCCAAGATGGAGAAAATGAGTAACATCCACACAAATGTCTAATCTATGCCTTAAATAAATTGTCTATCCTCAGGAATTTTAATAAATAGATTCAGAGCTTACATTTCTTTCTTCGCTTTTCATATTAGTAATAATTCACCCTAGTCTCACAATATTATCAGCAAACCCATAGCAATAGAATAGCAATGGTTATCATCCTGTGATTTTTCAACTTCCATAAGATTAAAAATAAAAACCTTCCAAATCTTGTCACATTATAGATAGAATCACGTAGACAATTTATTTTCAAGTTTATTTAAATTTCTTCTTATATAAGCTTTTGATTGGCGAAGGCTCACAACTCTTTACCAATTTATTCTCAAGCACTAAATTCAACAAGAGGCAGAGTTACATTAATATTGTCCTATTTCAACTAATTTATTATTTCTTGTGACATAGAAGTTATGTTAGCATACTAGTGAATATAGAAGCCAGCATAAATTATAGATGTATGAAATAACAGGAAGGCCAGTTTCTTTACGACAAAGACAAGAGAAGCACTGTATTCAGTATGCTAAGTTTACAAGCACCCTTTGTTCATTCTCACTTCTTGATAGATACATTACAAAGAGCCACAAATCTTTACTCTCATTTTTTTCTACCATATTCTTTTAATTTGATGTTGCAGTTTTTTCATCATGAGATGGAGTTGACCCACTTATGTATAGGCTGGATTTGTGATTTTTCTTTTAACTATAAAATGAAGCAGACATGATAGGGAACCAGTCTGAAATAGGCCTTAAGATGTGTTATATATTTCCCATCTCTCTTTTGGAATTCAGCTACTACCATGTGAATAAGCCCAGGTACTTGCATGATGAAGAGACACATGGCACAGTTGTCCTTGTCTCGCAAACCTGGCCACTGTTATATATGTGAGTGAGACCACTCTAGACCTATCAACCTTGAGCTGACTATCCAGCTAACTGCAGGACATTAAGGAGCCCAACACAGACCAGACAAAACTGGCTCAGCAAGAATCATGAGCTAAGTGAATATTCGTTTTTTTAAAGTCATTATGTTTTGGGATAGTTTTTATATAGGTACAGCTAAATGAAGCATAGATCTTTTCCATATTTTTGTAACAGTGGAAAGATATAAAATATTTTATTTGGATTTAGAGGCTGTTTAGAATAGTGATAACCACACTTGACTCTCTACTAAATTTGGTTAAGTATGTTATAAAATAGTTTATTGAACCACAACTCAAGTTGGAAGTTTCTCTCTAATGCCAGTAGTTAGCAAGAACTGATAATAGAATAACATCATCATCATCTGTATAAGAACATTTTGTGTTTAATCACTGGAAGATGTTAAAGGGAAGTTTAGGAAAATACATTCTAGTATGTGCATTCTACCAACTAAGTAATGTGTTGAACAACTGAAGGTTTTAGAAAACCACATTTTTTTAAAATACAGAGGCTAAAATTATCCACATATTATCCTTCATGTCTTCAGGTGAAATAGTTTTAATTATTTTTATTTTATATTTTAATTATAGATGTGAAATCATTAAGATCCTTGCTTTTGTTTATTTTTATCAGTAAAAATGATGGTATTTGTTATTGATAATTCTAGCTATAAATTAAATGTGGCATGGTGTCTATCTTTAAAATCTGTTTCTTGTTACATCTTACAATTAATATTCATTTAAAACATAGTTCTCAGATGTGAGTATTTTAGCTCTGAAGAGTAAAGTGTAAACATAAATATTATTATACACGTTTGGATGCTATATTTTCATAAATGAAACCTGTAATTGTTTGTTTTCTGTCACACTAAGCCCAAAACTTCCAGGAAAAAGTATTCCATCCCTATGTTTGAGAATCATTTTTTTTCACAGTCATTTATTGTGTAAGGATTGAGAAAATCCTGAGATATCTAAGGAACCTTAGATACTCTTGGGCTTTAAGAAGAAATAAACCTCTTGTTCACCTTTTTAGAATAATTTTCATCTCTGTCATTCAGCTGAAGATAAGAACTTGCCACAGATATCAGCAATCCTAAATATCTAGAAAATATGGAGACCAGCCTGGCCAACATGGAGAAACCCTGTCTCTACTAAAAAAACAAAAATTAGCCCAGTGTGGTGGTGCCTTGGTGGTGCCTGCCTGTAATCCCAGCTACTGGGGAGGCTGAGGCAGGAGAATTGCTTGAACCTGGGATGCAGAGGTTGCAGTGAGCCCAGATCTGCACTCCAGCCTAGGCAACAGAGCAAGACTCTGTCCCCACCAAAAAATAAATGAATAAATAAATAAATAAATAATATAACTAGCTGTAAAATGTAATAAAAACCACTTCACAGTGGTAAAATCTATGTAAACAGTGATATTCTATATAATATGTAGAAAATATTTATTAAAATATGTAAAATATATTTTTTAAAACAGAAAGATTCAAGTATGTAAATATATATAATCTCATGAAGATGGCAGTATCCACAATATAAGCTTACATTATCTATAAATTGAACTATACACATTTAATTGGATTCTATTAATAATCATAAAAGATAGACCATAAAAAGTTTATTCTATATTTTGCATTAAAGAGAAATTCTCAAGAGTAGCTAAGACATTCTTGAAGAAAATGAAAATTAAAAAAAAAAGTTTTGGCAATAAAAGTTGACATGAATTAACTCAAATTTGCCAATTAAGATTATTAGAGGATCTGTATGACATTGTCTTCCAGCAAGAGAAGTTTATTACTTTCAATATTAGAAGCCAACTAGGAAAGGGGCAGACTACCTTATACAATCTAAAATTAAATTTATTCAAAGCTAGACATAAGTGTTTGTGAAAATATTAGTGTTTCCAATTTACCACTACTACATTTGTTTACCATTCTTGAATCCTAACTAAAAACCGGACTTTCACTCCTTAGTTGGCTATAAGAACCACTTTCTGTCCATCCTTTTAAAATTCAAATTGAGGACTATCAACCATATAAGTCAAAATTTGATTAGACATGTGTAACTACTAGTAATGATATAAAATAATCATGTAAGAATCTTGTCCTTATACAATTAACTTAATTGAAGGCTACAAATGTATCATCCATGATTTGATTGCAAATGTACAATTGCTAAGTGTGAAATGAAATAATTTTGTGAGTGATTTGTGGCTGCACAATTTTGGGGGGTAATTAGTTTATACAAAGCTATTGGTTTAGATATGATTGTAGGTCTGCAGGCATAAAAGATGATTGTTAGCTGAAAAATAGAAAACTGAACTAGAATTTGTGAAGATCATCTGGAATCCACAAAGATGAACTTAAACTCACATTAGTCTCACTATTGCTATCCCTCCAGGAAAAGTTGGTAGCTTTCATTATTGAGCTGTATATACAGCAGACCCAATAATTGGGGGAACGGAAGTAGTACATCCAGTAGTGTATGAAGGAGCTGTGGGCCAAGTTCATCCCTCTTAACAAAAAGGTGAGTGAACAAATCCATGATAAAGTGCATAAACAGCAAACAGTGTTTAATGTCTCTTCTCAGATAACCCCATTTTTCTAATTTTTAAAATATTGCAATTGTTTTACAATCTCAATAGAAGCTACCTCTTTCTTAAATCACTGCAATAACTTCCTAACTCTTCGTCTCACATCTTATTTTGCTCCCTTAGATTCAACCTCTTCCAAACAAACACTGATTTTAAATCTAATTCTGTAGGTCTCTAGAAAGTCACAGTGTTTCAGCCTTGGCGCTATTGACATTTTAATCCAGATAATTCTGTGTTTTGGAAGCTCTGTCTTGTGCAATGCAGCATATTTAGCAGCATCTCTGCCCTCTAGCCAGGGAATGCCAATAGTATCTTTCCGCGTATAAGGTATTCAATGTTTCTAGTTTTTGCCAAATCTTTTCTGGGGGCAAAATCGTCCTCACTGAGAACCACTATCCTAGGTCAAAATCATTCAATGTTTACGTTATCGTTAGGGAAATATCCAGAATCTTTAACATACTTTAGAAGGCTGCATTACAAGCTGTTTACCTATCTCTTCTGCCTCTGTCACCATATTTAGACTCTTGGGTTGACTGTAATGTAGTTTTACCTTCTTCTTTAGGTTCCCAGAATGCACCAATAACTTTTCCTTCTCAAGGAGTTTGCACATGCTATAGTTTCTAAACATTGCCCTCCTCTTCACCTTGCTAACAGTTATGCCTCAGGTTCCAGCTTTAATGTCGTATTTTTGTGGAAGACTTCTATTAATAGAAACACACAGATTAGATTAAGCCTTCCACTGAAGCCTTCGCTCACTCTATGCTTGTGTTTTGGATCATTAGTCACAACTAGACATAGTAAATTAAAAATAACTATTTTAATGTTTGTCTTACCTTATATTCTACTGACATCAGCTCCAAAGAAGCAAGGATGATGTCTTTCTTTTATTCCTAGAGCCTGGCACATTGCTGGTGCTCAATAATTAATTTTTGAGTAAATGTATTTTAAAAATACTCAGTTGAGAACACACCTGCATTCAACTGAGAAAACTTCTCAAATAATTTTTGGAAACAGATAAAAGTGTAAACATTAAGCCATCTCTTCTCCCACTACAGATAAACCGTACTTATATCTAGATCCTTGATGATGTAAATTATCCCTGTGTTTTAGTAACTTTTCTCATTGAGGTAATTACCACCATGGTTCTCAATTCCGTACATGTGCCAAATCCAACAAATCTCTAGTATATGGAAAATATCCTGTGCAAAAATATCATAGGCCAGTTTTTAAAAATTAAGATTTTTAGCTTTTTAATGCTTTTTGCCAGTTGAAAATTTTAATTCTCCATCTCTTCATCTCAGTCTTTCACATATTTATTGAAATGTCTACCGGCAGTATCTAATTCAATAGCCTGCCGGTGATCCTATGGTGCTCTTATTTCTCCATACGTTATTCAAGTCCATTGGAATGTATCCATTTTATATCAGTCCCTAGACAGTTCACCATCTCTTGGCTCCTTCTGAGATATCTATGTCTTAATTTTGAAGCACCTGTTACTTCAGAACCAAAACTATATAGCACATTTGCATAGATTACTTCCCCGTCTTTCTCAGTGGTATCCTGCAGCCTGAATAACTATGTGGCAGTAGATGTGCAGTGTAGCATGAAAACACACCTGTTATTGTTCTTTTCAACCAATGCGGCTAAGAAACTTAGCCCCACTGTAAAAAAAATGCTTCTCGAACTCTAACAGCAATTATTCTGGCATATGCTGATAGAACAGCATGTGGCAAAGGCAAGCAAAGTTCCTAGGCCTCACTGGGAGCTGTTAATGGAGTTCCCAGGAGAGAGGACTGGAGATCATTGATGTGCATGTGCAATACATCAATTGAAATCTCTGCAGAATCATGGAGAAATCCAGAATTATCATTTTTTGCTCTAGACTTAGTTGTGACTAAATATGCTTCCTTTATGTTTAAAAAGTAAAGGCACAGTCTTTTCTCCTATTAACGTGCTTATACACAAGTAAAACCTATTATCTGGGCTCAATAGTGGAGCATTAACATTTCATTTTTCTTTATTTTTAGAAAAAAATTATTGTTATAAAATGAATGGTTATGAAGTGGTAATACAGCATAATGATAATCCCTCCAGAATGTTTTAGTGTGTCATCCTAGTGAGTACTCTATGAAAGTTTCCTTAAAGATAAGCGAATCACACCACAGAGTCAAGGAGTACATAATGGCACGCATTATTTGTTCTCCACCTCATCTCCAACACCTTTCTGATTTTTGTATTTCTGTTATGTTACAAACATGATCTCAGGCATCAACTGAGCCATCTTTTCAACAGATAGTTCTTAAGAATTTGATGCCATACTCTATGAATAAACAGTCTTATATGGTAGAACTCCTTTAAAATCTACTTGGGTAGATGGATGATCCAAATCCTTTTCTGTTCCATGATAGTTATGGGCTAATTCTTTCTAGAATAGTGTGGGATCTTCAAAACTGAGAATTACTGGACATTATTCTTCACATCACTCCTTAACATCTCCTAACATATTTGCAAGATTTAAATAAATTCTGTCCTACAACAGCACTATTATAATGTTACCTTTTCAAAATACATCATAGTTTTAGAAGGAATTATCAAGATGTACACAAATTCCCTTGGCCTTATGATATCTGTGAACACCAGTCTCATTCCCAAAGGCCAGTTTATTTATTTCTCTGCCTGACAACTTTCTCTGCACTGAAGCCACTTTCTCACTCATGTAGCAGAATAGAATGCTTGGGAATTAATGCTCAAATTCAGCCTCCAACTGATATTTGACAAGAGCTATTGTTTAAATATTCCTGCCTGTCACCTGTAGGTGACATAACTCTGGCAGGTTTTTCCTTGTAGTGTTAACCTTCGATAGCCTTCAGCATTATTGGATTGATAAAGCATTTATGTTAGTTTCTTTCTTTAACTTACTTTCCCATACCCCTGTGGGTTTATCCTTCACCTTCCAAATAACTACTTTTAGTAGAATCATTGTCTCAGAGCCTGTTTCTTGGGAACCCTATAGTAGTTTTTTTTCAGTTGGAGTTTAGAGCCTGAATGCATTCAGAGCTGAAATGATTTTGGAAAGTTAGCAATTAATTCAACATTTTAGGAGTGGAAATGTTTCTGCTTATGTCATTACTTTCTCACTGTCTCAGGGATAGAAATAGCATCCTCTCTGACATTTCTAAATATGAATTACAATGATGCATATCTCAATCTTTCTAAATCAGGAAAGTTACAGTGTCAATCATTTGATCATATGTCTTCTTTAGTCCCATCCCTTGTGCTTTCATCAAGGAAGTATGATAATATTTTATTCTTTTTATAGAAAAAATGGTGGAAGATAAAACATTTATTTTCACATTTTCAAAATGAAGTATCTTGAGCTTGGCTTGTCTGCTTTCTGTCTTCAGAGGTAGTGAAATGCAATCACTCCAGAAACTACATGACAAAGGCTGAGGTAATGCTTATTTTCTAACTGGAGATTTATACATTATAATATGTGGAGCCTTATTTAACTTAGTGAGAAAAAGTAATACAGGATTTCAAGAACTGTTTTTACCTTGGCAAATGCAATTCCTTATTTAAAATTATGTGCATATATTTAGAAGTTTCACAACTTTTAAGCTATGGAATATTAGAAAGGATATCTAATAAAATAGAAATCTGAGGAAACAGATTTTCTATTTTCTCATTTTTTATTTGACAGAGAAAGAAATTGAAGCCAGTTAATTTAAATAAACTTCTCACAGGAACACAACATCCCCAATCCCCAAAATAGTTAAGAAGATATTGTCATATCCTTAATCCCAATATCCTAACTATTGGATTTTATTCTCAATTCTTTATTCATGCTTTTTTTATGACTTCCTTAATTTTCTTTCAAATCTTTGTCTGTCTCTGGTATCTTTTATCTCTCTCAAGGCTTATTTGTTCCACAAATGCTCCTAAATTCAGCTATTAACTATGCAAAGAGTATCTTCTCTATTAATAGTCCCTTAATGCATTTTCCCTCTTCCTCACTCCTTCCTTTCTCACCCCCTCTTTCTTGCACACATGTGCACACACACACATACACACACACGCACACACTTCTGCATGGATCTTGTTGAGTCCTCAATTATGACCAGTTGAATTTAAAAGCTGTCCCATTTATAATGGAATCCCACTGTATTCTTAATTTTGAATATCATAGATTTTTAACAGCATACATCTTCCTCAAATTCTTTGCAGCACTTTTCATATGTTCATAAGTGATATGATGAAACTAACATTTCTCTTCTCTCTTTGGTTATTTCTGTCAGCAAATCTTTGACTTCTTTCTTTCATTAGTAAAAATTACAATACTTGATACATTAATGTACTTTCAAAATCAGAGTTACTAAATACAAGTTTCTTCATTACTTATGGAAAAATCTAATGTAGATATTGAAATTTGTTAATGCTCAGAAACAATATTATAAAAGGAACATCTCTCTTTGATTATATCTTCCTGCAATTCCTCAACTTCTTTTATAGTAAAATTTACAGCACTTGGGGCTTAAATGCAACTTCAATTCATAGTTCTTCATTACTTGTGGAAAAATCTAATGGAGATGCTGGTTGAGTGTTTTTTTCTGGGAAATTTTTCTTCAAGCTGTTACTAAGGTATCGAGACTCATTCCATTTTAGGACGCTGCCCTATTCAACGTATTACCTCCTTGGTAACTAAAAAAGGTAAACAGCAGTGGGGAATGTACACAAGATATTTAATCTCTTCACAGCAGTGTCATACACCATTTCTATTTTATTCTATTGTCTAGAAATAGTTATATTCTTTCATAATTCCCTCTTTCTAGAGTCAACACTATAATATGAAATAGAACAAAAATCTTTGAGGTCATCTGCGTTTCACTGCAAAAATCTCTTTCTTTTTTTTAATTAAAAAATTAGTTTAGCTGTGTAAACTTAAATAAGTTAAAATATTCAAATAAAATCTATTGCAACATTTAAGAAATTAATTTGTGCTCTAAGATATTGCATACAGAACTATATAAATCCTCTGATGAAAAATATCCTTGATTTATGGTGTAACTGGTTTTGTTTCTTATTGGAGGAAAAAGTGAGAAATGATCCTTGAGAAGAATTGTGGCACAGTGAAGAGAAGCAAAATTTAATTTGTTATTTTGTAGGATGGTTGGAGAATTGTGTGTTCCAGTTCTTCTTACATAAATCTTCTAGTATTTTTAAAAATCTATTGGTGTTCAGTATCTGAATCAGTATATGTATAACGTTTCAGCACCATACGCTCATCTAGAAAATGAGATTTAAGGATCCCAAATTGTCCAACACTACGAAAGACAAACACAGTGTGTGCCCTTGCATATCACTGGGGATCATCACAGTCTATTAATCTGGCAGATAGTTCATCAGTTATGCCTCTTGTTCTCTTCTGAGATGCCACATCTATAATGCAAATATGTGTGCTCATATTCAAGCTTATCTCCATCCTATAGTTTATTTTTCTTAATTCAGCATTACTCTATGCCTCTGATTTTAGGTGAGAAACACTTTCAGCTTTGGAACATATTAATTCCATTTAGATAATATTTATATTGTAAAAAATGGGTTTGACCTATGCTATTTATTCCCAAGGAGATGTGAGCATACTAGCAAGGAGTGGGGTCACATTTCAGATGAAACCATAGCATTTACAATGGGCATTAGAAAAGTCAGTGATCATTAAGGTGTTGATTTGGCAACAAAGTCAAGAAGAGGTGATAAGCTCTGTAGAAATAACTCACATCCCTTCTAGAGATAAATATTTAATAATGTCTTAAAAATATAGAAAGCTTCTTTCCCCCAACATGGTATTGTTCTGAATGGACTAATCACACATAGACAGGAGCCCAAGTTTACAGTGGGCAAGACCTCGTAAAGACATCAACTCCCAGATAGTTTATAATCTATTGGCACAAACATCTCAGTGACACTTAGTTACTAATACAGAATTTAACTCTGTCCAAGAAAGCTCACAAAAGAATCACTGTGGAAGATCATTTTCTATAACATGAGCAACTGGTATTGAGGATCATTAAAATTAGAAGGGAGAGTAGGGACTAGAGCATTCTGAGAAAAAAAAAAAAAGCTTGTATGAAATACTCATTTACTGAAAAAAGACACTTTTATATTTGATTTAAATTATTTTTACAAGTATGGGTTGAAAAAGACCTGTTGTAGTCTGTTTTAGCTGTGGTAACAACATACCATAGATTGAGTGACTAATAAAAAATAAATGTTGATTTCTTACAGATCTGCAGGCTTGCAGTCTGAAATCAGGATGCAATCACAGTTGTGTTCTAGGGTGTGTTCTAGGGTATGTTCTCTTTCCAGGTTGCAGACTGTTCACTGCTTGTTGTATATTTCAATAGCAGAAAAAGTAAGAGCACTTTATGTGATTCCTTTTATAAGGGTGCTAGTCCCATTCATGAGGGCTCCACCTTGATTACTTAATTACCTACCAAAGGCCCCGCATCCTAATACTATCATCACATTGAAATTTAAGATTTAAATGTATGAATTCTGTGAGGCACAAACATTCAATCCATTGCAAGGCCCAGCACTCAGACAACTGCCTTTCTGTGTTAATTATGGAAATGCAAAGCATGGCTGGGAATTGGAAATGCTTCCAATATACCTGAAATATATATTTAAGTATGTAACATAAATTTAAAAGGTCCTTACACTGCATTAAAACCTCGACAGCATCTTTCTTCATTAAGTGTTTTTGTTTGTTTTGTTTCTGTGGTTCACATAAAAAATTAGAAAACAATTTTCCCCTATGCTCCCCACCCAGCATATCTTTTAAAAAAAGTGATTTTAAATTTAAATTTATACCTACCAAGTAGAGAGATATTCATATTATTTACAAAGCCCCACAGTAGAAAATCCATTCAGGCCTCCCCAGTGATGGAGGAAAAGGATAGAAAATTGTGTGGAAGACGAAGGACAGAAAATCGGTTCCTTGGTATTGAGTCCAGCTAAGCGTACTCCAAAGTTGTTGGTTTTTTTTTTTTTTTCTTCCCACTTCTTTAGCACTAAACCACCTCAACTATTCTGGCCTGGAGCAAAAATTCCTGGGGAAGTCTGACCACCAGTCTTTGGAAGTCCATTTCAATAAGGCCATCAATAGTTTCTTCTAAAAGGCTTTTCTATGTTTTTTCTTGGTATTATCACAGTCCTCTTTCAATTCTTTGAGAAGAGAAGTCACCCAGTTAGGTTTCCTATCCAATCCTACCCAACAACAACAACAACAACAACAACAAAAAGGTGAGAGGTAGATACATGGCCATCTGCAAAGACCACCAGCTGCTGATATTCTTCATGGGCAAGGTCCTCTTGAAGGCATAGCTGCAGTGAGGAACTTGCACAGTCCCAGAATCTTTTACAGCAGCGTAAAGGAGGTCAGTTCAGTACCTGAAAATAAGCTCATCTTGATTTTCCTCATGATAAGTCCATGTTTGCTGTATACAAGCCTCAATTTCCTCTTGTAATGACCTATGTATCACTCCCTAATCTACGGCTGTCCTTTCAATGTAATTGTCTTCTCACTGAGCAGAGCTAACATGTTGTCCTACTTGTACTACAGCAGTTGGATTTTACTCTGCCTCACCATAGTCCCAAGCAGCTTGCCAATCTTGTGGCTAGACACTTGGTGACCCCAAATCGTTGGGCCCTTAGTTGTTGGAATAAATGGGAACAATTTTATTTTTTCAACTTTATTTTTGTTAAGACTATTTATTTGCCTAGATGGCTTGATAACACTTTTGGGTGATGGCTGAGGGGTCTATATGCAAAATTAAGTCAAAAGCCCCTTGGTTATTTTACATTTAAACCTCAGTGTGAATTCAGAGAGCTCATTGGTTATGATATGAGATGGGGATATTTGGCAGTTTACCTTGCTTTGCTTTACCTAGAATCCTCTCACAACTCTGTCTTGTTCATGGTTATTGACCTTTCAATTTTTCATATACCTCTATTACTTTTCTTTTTGTATTGTCTTCTCTGATTTCTTTATTCACTCATTTGCTAAATAAATTTTACTCTTAGAAAAATTCCTTTCTTTATCTACAAAGCTACTTTCAATTATCTCATTCATTCTAGTGGTTTTTACTGTTACTTATATGGATGGATCACAGATCAAAATACTAATCCTTAATGATCTACAAAGTCTCAGTGCTGTAATCACAATTTGTTACTGGAAAATTTTACCTGAATGCAAACCATGTTTTAAATAACAACCAAATTTATAATTTTTCAATAACAACCAAAATTATAATTTTTTTCAAAATAATCTTATTCACTGAAGTTTTATTAATATTCAAACACAGTTTCAAATACTTCAGCTTCTTTTTATATTTTTTAGTCTAAGGACTATAGATTTTTCCTTAAGAACAGCTATCCCACATGTCCTGTGATTTATCTTCTCATCATCACTATCCTAGATGATACCTACAGAGCACCCTGAAAGAATGTTGCAACTGCTTCTAAACTTCTGTTTTTCCAATGACAAACAGTAGATCATTGATATAGCTTGTCCCTGCTCAAATCTCATGTTGAATTATAATCCTTGATGCTGGAGATAGGGCCTGGTGTTTGGGTCATGGGAGTGGATCCCTCATGGTTTAGTGCTATCTTCTTGATAGTGAGTGAGTTCTTGCAAAATTTAGTTGTTTAAATGTGTGTTATCAGGGGAATATGCCCCCATTATTTCAACGTAGGTTCTTTCTATTTTCCATAAGTGTCAGCCGGCTGAGAAATAAACAGAAAGAGTACAAAGAGAGGAATTTTACAGCTGGGCCACCGGGGGTGACATCACATATCGGTAGGACCATGATGCCCACCTGAGGCTCAAACCAGCAAGTTTTTTATTAAGGGTTTCAAAAGGGGAGGAGGTGTAAAACAGGGAGTAGGTACAAAGATCGCATGCTTCAAAGGGCAAAAAGCAGAACAATGATCACATGATTCTGAGGGAACAGGAAAAAGGCAAAGCAGAACTACTGATAAGGGTCTATGTTCAGCTGTGCACATATTGTCTTGATAAATGTCTTAAACAACAGAAAACAGGGTTTGAGAGCAGAGAACCAGTATGACTACAAATTTTCGATGGCAGAGTTTTTTCCCGACCCTAGTAAGCCTGAGGGTACTGCAGTAGACCAGGGCATATCTCAGTCCTTATCTCAACTGCATGAGACTGACACTCCCAGAGCAGCTGTTTATAGACCTCCCCCAGGGATGCATTCCTTTCCCAGGGTAATATTAATATTGCTTGCTAGGAAAAGAATTTAGCGGTATCTCTCCTACTTGCACATCCGTTTAAAGGCTCTCTGCAAGAAGAAAAATATGGCTCTTTCTGCCCAACCCCACAGGCAGTCAGAACTTATGGTTGTCTTCCCTTGTTCCTTAAAAATCGCTGTTATTCTGTTCTTTTTCAAGGTGCACAGATTTCATATTGTTCAAACACACATGTTTTACAATCAATCTGTACAGTTAACACAATTATCACAGTGGTCCTGAGGTGACCTACATCTTCAGTTTACGAAGATAACAGGATTAAGAGAT